>NC_000009.12:36676666-36828181 GCF_000001405.40 Homo sapiens
AGAAAAACCTCAAAAACACACGTGCCTTTCTGACAGGTTACTGGCTTCAGCTTTATTTATATGAAAGACAAGTTTCTGACAAGGCTCACACACATGAAATATTATCTTTCTTGCGCTTTCCTTTGTTGTGAATGTTGTGGAAATGCCCAATGTTTGCGGATTACACGTTGAAAGGATTGCATAAAGAATGCCAGATTTCTTGAGCATGAATGGCATGTATAGCTATGAAACAGGGGCTTTTCTTTGGAGCAAGGGAGACTTGTAATAAAGCCTTTTCATGCTTATTCTTAGGATCCTAGTTCAGTTTCTGGGAAAACACCAGTCATACTCTATTACTAAAGCATAGCTAGGTCATTTGGAAACTGTAAACAGTAATACATTGCTTAATATGAAATAATGGTTCATTTCCTCCACTGGCCTCCTAGAGGCTTAGAAAACTCTTATACAGAATATGGTTCTCCTACTAACTAGCTTCTTATCTTGTTTTTCACAGTTATACACTGAAGTGTCAAACACAGTCAGATTTTGGGAAAGTGACAATGCAATTTGAATTAGAAGTGTGCCAGCTTCAAAAACCCGATGTGGTGGGTATCAGGAGGCAGCGGCTTAAGGGCGATGCCTGGGTTTACAAAAGATTAGTGGAAGACATCCTATCTAGCTGCAAGGTATAATTGATGGATTCTTCCATCCTGCCGGATGAGTGTGGGTGTGATACAGCCTACATAAAGACTGTTATGATCGCTTTGATTTTAAAGTTCATTGGAACTACCAACTTGTTTCTAAAGAGCTATCTTAAGACCAATATCTCTTTGTTTTTAAACAAAAGATATTATTTTGTGTATGAATCTAAATCAAGCCCATCTGTCATTATGTTACTGTCTTTTTTAATCATGTGGTTTTGTATATTAATAATTGTTGACTTTCTTAGATTCACTTCCATATGTGAATGTAAGCTCTTAACTATGTCTCTTTGTAATGTGTAATTTCTTTCTGAAATAAAACCATTTGTGAATATAGCAGGCTTCTCTTTTTTGTATTTGATTTTGATCCAAATAAAACCTCAAATGGCTTCCTGACTATTAAGTAGAGACTATTTGGAGTATGTTTTATCTGTTATCAAATATGCCTTGGGCAGAAAAACAGATAAGAATTCATTTGCATAATTTTTTCCTGTCTGATTTAAGTAGGATTTATTGAGATCGTTAACTGTCACAGCTGTGGTTACCAGAGTTAAACAACACATTTAATATGTTGAATAAAAGAGTATTGACTTTAAGTATGTTTGGTCAACAAATGATAAGTATCCGAACTATGAACCCCCCCTGAAATGTTACTTTATGGTAATTTCCCTAAGTCTCAATGTTGGCCCCAAATTTGTATTTTTATTTCATTTTATTGGTCTCCAAAGGCTAGAACTCAAGTTATATTGGTATGGATTTCACCAATTAAACTAGTTGGAGAAAAAATAGCACTCCTTCTGGTCAGTAGTGAAGGGAATGTTTTGTCATTCATTTATTCAATAAATGTTTACTAAGTGCTTACAAGCATTAGGTCCTCAGGCTGAAGCTGCTACTGTCTAGTAAACCCAAGGATTTACTAACTGTATTTGTAGCATAGCGGGACCCACCCACTTTGCATGGAATTAGAAATGAATTCTTGGAAGAAACAGCATTTGTCATTGAAGGATATATAGGAGTTCAGCAGAAAGAGAAGAGTGAGGAGTATGACTTTTTTTCTTTCTTTCTTTCTTTTTTTTTTGAGACGCAGTCTCACTCTGTCACCCAGGCTGGAGTGCAGTAGCGTGATCTCAGCTCACTGCAGCCTCGACCTCCTGGGCTCAAGCAGTCTTCCCGGTTCAGCCTCCCAAGTAGCTGGTACTACAAGCGTGCGCCACCACACCCAGCAAATTTTTTTACTTTTTGTACAGACAGGGTCTCACTATGCTGCCCAGGCTGATCTCAAAACTCTTGATCTCAAGCAGTCCTCCCACTTCAGCCCTCCAGAGTGCTGGGATTACAGGCATGAGCCACCACCCCAGCTTGGGACATGACATTTTTGAGAGAACAATATGTGCAAAGACAGGGAATTATAAAATGTCATTATGTGTTTGGGGTAGAAGCAGAAGGTAGTGGAAGCGGGAAATGACAGTAGATGAGGATTGAAAGTTTAGATGGAAATAAGTCATGAAAGTACTTGAATGCCCCATTAAAATAAGTGTTTTGGCAAAGGAGAGCTGTCAAAGGGTTTTTAATATTTTAACAACAGCTTTGTTACGATGTAATTCATATATCATAAGATTTACCCCTTTAAAGTGTGTACAATTCAGTGGGGGTTTAAGAGTGTATTCAGGTCGGGCGCCATGGCTTATCCCTGTAATCTCAGCACTTTGAGAGGCCGAGGTGGGTGGATCACCTGAGGTCAGGAGTTTGAGACCAGCCTGGCCAACATGGTGAAACCCCGTCTCTACTAAGAACACAAAAAAGTAGCTAGGTATGGTGGCATGTGGCTGTAATCCCACCTACTTGGGAGGCAGAGACAGGAGAATCACTTGAATCTGAGAGGTGGAAGTTGCAGTGAGCCGAGATTGTGCCACTGCACTCCAGCCTGGGTGACAGAGTGAAACTCCATCTCAAAAAAATAAATAAAATAAAAGTATATTCATAGTTGTGCAACCATCACCACAATGTAATTTTAGAACATTTTTATCATGTCAAAAAGAAGCCCCATACCTGTTACCGGTCACTCCCCATACCCCACCCCCCAGCCCCTGGCCACCACTTACCTACTTTCTGTTTCTATGAATTTGACTGGTGTATGTCATATAAATGGAATCATGCAATGTAAGACCTTTGGGGTTTAGTTATTTTTACGTAGCATAACATTTTCAAGATTTATAATGTAGCATATATCAGTACTTCATTTGATAACTGAATAATATTCCACTGTATGGATATGTGACATTTTATTTATCACTTGATAGACGTTTGGATTGTTTCCACTTGGCTATTATGAATGCTGCTGTGAATGCTTATATACAAGTTTTGTGTGGACATGTTTTCATTTCTCTTGTATATATACCTAGGAGCAGAATTGCTGGGTCATTTAACATTTTGAGGAACTATCAAACTGTTTTTCCAAAGCCACTGCACCATTTTATGATCCTGCCAGTGATGTACGAGGGTTCTAACTTTTCCACATTCTGTCAAACACTTGTTATCTGTTTTTTTAATTTTAGTCATCCTAGTGGGTGTAAAGTGGTATGGCATTGTGGTTTTGATTGTCTTTTCCGTGATGATTAATGATGTAGAGCAGTTTTTAATATGCTTTTGGCCATTTGTATATCTTTCTTGGAGAAATGTCTGTTCAGATCCTTTGCACATTTTAAATTGGGTTATGTTTTTATTGTTGAATTGTAAGAGTTCTTTATATATTCTAGGTATGTCTGTTACCAGCTATATGATAATATATATAATATATGATATGCAAATGTTTTTTCCATTATGTGGGCTTTTTAACTTTCTTGATAGTGTATTTTGAAGAACAAAAGTTTTCAATTTTCTGAAGTCCAATTTACCTATTTTTATAAAATATAGAGGTATGATTAATCTTCTATCCCTATGGGAAGTGGCGTGGTTTGAAACAATGATTCTCAAAAGTTTTTGACCCTAGCCACAGCAAGAAACAAGTACACATGATGGAAGCACTTGTAGTGTGTTAGTAGTATCTATCTCATTTGCTTTTAATTTACGTTTCCCTAATGACTTTGGGATCCATCACATATAAACATATATGAAGCACTGCTTAGCCTTACTGTAAGTGACAACATATTCTATTTTCTCTTATAAACATCTAGTCTGACAATTGTAATCTTTAAATTAGAGTTCTTTAGCACATTTACTTTAAAATCCTTTTGGGGGATCAGGTTTATTGAGATATAATTTACATATGGTGGAATTTACCCTTTTTAGATGTACACTTTGATGAGTTTTGATGAATATATGTAGTTGTGTAACTACCACCATAGTTGAGATTAGAATGTTTCCATCACCCTAAAAAGTTTCATCTTGCTCTTTTATATTATAGGCAATCCTTTCTTCTCCCAGGCCCTTGCAATCACTGATAGGACTTCCATCTCTATAGTTTTGTTTTTTTTCCAGAGTATTATATAGGTGGAATCGTTTACTACATGGGAGTTGGGTATAACTTCTTTTCATTTAGCATGATGATTTTGAGACTTATCCATGTGGTTGTCTATATTAGTAGCTCATTTTTTATTGTTGAATAATAGTTTGAATAATATTGTTGACAGTAGTCAATTGGATATACCAAAATGTGTTTATTCACCAGTTGAAGGACTTTTGAGTTTTTACTTTTGGGCTTTTATGCTGCTGTAATCATCCGTGTGCAGGTTTTGATGTATGCATGTGTTTTCTTTTTTTTTTTTTTTTTTTGAGACGGAGTCTTGCTCTGTCACCCATACTGGAGTGCAGTGGCGCAATCTCGGCTCACTGCAAGCTCCGCCTCCTGGGTTCACGCCATTCTCCTGCCTCAGCCTCCCGAGTAGCTGGGACTACAGGCGCCTGCCACCACGCCCAGCTAATTTTTTTTTATTTTTAGTAGAGACGGGGTTTCACTGTGTTAGCCAGGATGGTCTCGATCTCCTGACCTCGTGATCCACCCGCCTCGGCCTCCCAAAGTGCTGGGATTACAGGCGTGAGCCACTGCGCCCGGCCATGTGTTTTCATTTCACTTAGGTAACTATCCAGGAATGGAATTAATGGATCCTGTGGTCAGTGTGTTTGTAGAAGGAACTACCAACAGTTATTAGCACATATGAGAGGTTTTTTTGTTTGTTTTGTTTTCTTTTTGAGACGGATTCTCCCTCTGTTGCCCAGGCTGCAGTTCAGTGGCGCGATCTGGGCTCACTGCAACCTTCGCCTCCTGGGTTCAAGTGATTCTCCTCCCTCAGCATCCCAAGTAGCTGGGACTACAGGCACGTGCCACCACACCCAGCTAATTTTTGCATTTTTAGTAGAGGCAGGGTTTCATCATGTTGGCCAGGCTGGTCTCAAACTCCTGATCTCAAGTAATCTGCCCACTTTGGCCTCCCAAAGTGCTGGCATTACAGGAATGGAGCCACCGCGCCCAGCCTGATTTCTTTTTTTAGGTCATGTCAGGAAAGATATTGATTCTTTTGATTCGTGAACATGGTTTTTGGTCGTCTTTAATTTGTCTCATCAGTGCCTCCATGTGTTTTTGATGCCTTTGAACTGGTATTTTTAAAATTTCAATTTCTAATTGTTCATTATAGAAACACAATTGGGTTTTATATATTGGCATTGTATTTTGCAACTTTCCTAAACTCACTAGTAATTCTAGTAGCTTTTTTTGGTAGATTCTTAAGGATTTTCTGTGTAAATAGTCATGTCATTTGTGAATAAAGCCATTTTTTTTTCCTTTTCAAATTTTGTGCCTTTTATTTCTTATTCTTACCATATCACATTGGCAAAGACCTCCAGTATGATATTGAATAAAAGTGGTGAGAGAAAACATTCCTGCCTTGTTCATGATTTTATGGGGAAAGAATAATTCTTTTACCATTAGGTATGATGTTAACTGGGTTTTTCATAGATGTTTGCCATCAGTTCAATGAAGAGCCCTTCTTTTCCTAGTTTGTTTAGATTTTTGTTCATGAATGAATGCTGAATTTTGTCATATCCTTTTTCTGTATCAAGACGATTACATGGGTTTTCTCTTAAATTTGTTTATATAGTGAATTACAACCAATTTATTTTTAATATAATTATATAGTTGAATTTACAGCTACCATTTTACTATTTGTTTTTCTTTTAATCCACCCATTTTATACTCATCTTTCTCTCCTTGCCTTCCTTTAGTTCAAATACTTTATATTATTTTATTATTCACCATCTATTAACATGTTATACATTTGTTTGCTCCCTTGTTAGTGGCCATACTAGATTTTAATATGCATGTTAGTTTATTATAGTCTACCATAGCATTTTCCAAACAAAGCAAACATTTTCCAATAGTTTAAATACATTACTCCTTTCTGCAATTTGCATTATTGTTGTCTGCATTTTAAATTTCAAAAGACATTGCAGTTACTGTGTTTTACAATTAGTATTCATTTAGATTTACCCACTTCATTGCCCTTGATTTCTTCCTGCATTTCTATGTTTTTATCTTGGGTCTTTTTTTTGCTAAACTTGGCATAAAGAACCCCCTTTTATATGCGTTTTAGTGCAGGTCTGCTGGTGGTAAATTCTCATTTTGTTTGAAGACATTTTTATTTTACTTTCATGTTAAAAAGATTTTCCCCCTAGGAATAGAATTCCAGATGGGCAAGTTTGCTTTCCTGCCTGTTCTTTCAGCATTTTAAAGATGTCATTGCATTGTCTTCTGGTTTCAATCATTTCTTTTGAGAAATCAGCTGTCAGTTTCATTGTTGCTTCTTTGAAGGTAATGTTTCTTTTCCTCTGGCTGCTTAAAAAATTATTTTTATTTGTTTTTGATTTTGACTTTGACTTTGATGTACATTTTTTTGTTTGTTTTGTTTTCTGGAATTTATGCCGGTTGGAGTTAGTTGAGAGACTTGAATCTTTATGTAGATGTCTTACCAGTTTTGAAAAATTCTCTACTGTTATCTCTTCAAATACTGCTTCTGCTCTAGTCTTTCCTTCTGAGGCTCCACTTACATGTAAGTTAAACCTTTTCCTTGTGTCTCACATACTTTTATTCCCTTTTGTATGTTTTCCACTCTTTGTGTGCTTCAGTTTACTTACTAACATGTCTTCTAGCTCATTAACTTTGTCTTCTTGTTGTGTGTAATCTGCAGTCATACTTATGTATTGATTGTTTTTATTTTTTTAATGGAGTCTTTCTAGACACTGAAAAAGATTATTTCTTTTTTAAAATTGTAAACATTTTGATTTTTGAAATGTTTTTAAGAGATGGATTTTCACTATGTTGCCCAGGCTGGTCTTTAATCCTGGGCTCAATGAGTTAAATCCAGCTAACCATTTTTGGCTGCAGGGCTCAAGTGATCCTCCTGCTTCAGCCTCTTAAGTAGCTGGGATTGCAGGTGTGCACCACTGCACCTGGCTTATATTGATTCGTCAGTGTAGCTATTGTGTTTTTAACTTTAAAATTTTTATTTGATTAAAACATAATTCTCCAGTGCAATTTTTCTTCTTTTCGTCTCTTCATTTTGTCTTGTTTTCTTGGACATAAATCTCAGCAATTTTTAAAATGTCCTTGTCTAATAAAACTCTAGTTTCAGAATCACCTGTGGGTAAATTTTTATTGTATATTTTTTCCCTTTGTTTTTCAACACGTTTCTTAGAATGTCTAGTAATTTTTATTGAATGCTAGATACTGTGTATTAAAAACTGTTAAAGCTTCAGATGATATCTTCCTCAAGGAGAATTCAGTGTTTCTCTGTCATGCAGAGAGGGTCAAGGGTGATCAAATTAATTCCATCAGTACTGAACTGATGTTTTCAGTTGAACCAGGGCTTTCAACTGAGAGCCTGCTGTATTTACCAAGATCCATGCTCCCAACAGGTCCTGAAAGATATCTAAGTTTTGCGTCCTCAACACTACAAGATTGTGGAAAACTGCTTTGGTTAGTTTTTGGTTTAATCTTTTACTTCCAGCTTTGCACAGCTTCAGAATGTCTTGGGGAGACTGACTATGTGTTTGAGGCTCCCCAAGTCTCCAGTTTTGTTACTGTAGCCCTGTACAAACATACAAAGCTCTGCTGTTTCTCTGATCCTTGGCAGTGCCCCTCTGTCTGGATAAAGCCTGGGGTCACCTCTCTGCAGGTCTCTCCTCTCCAGATTTTGGTTATTCATCCTCATTGCTTCAGCAGCTCCCTGATGCTTTTGAACACTTTTTAATTTTTTATTTCTTTAATAATTTTTATTTCAGTAGTTTTTGGGGTACAGGTGGTTTTTGGTTACATGGATATGTTCTCTAGTGGTGATTTCTGAGATTTTGGTGCACCTGTTACCCAAACAGTGTATACTGCACCAAATGTGTAGTCTCTTATCCCTCACCTACCTCCCACCCTGCCCCCTGAGTCCCCAAAGTTCATTATATCATTCTGGTGCTTTTGCATCTTCATATCTTAGCTCCCACTTACAAGTGAGAACATGTATTTGGTTTTCCATTCCTGAGTTACTTTATTTAGAATAATGGTCTCCAGCTCCATCCAGGTTGCTGCAAAAGACATTTCATTCCTTTTTGTGGCTGAGTAGTATTCCGTGGTGTATATATACCACATTTTCTTTATCCACTGGTTGGTTGATGGGCACTTATGTTGGTTCCGTATCTTTGCAATTGCAAATTGTGCTACTATAAACGTGTGTGCATGTGTCTTTTTCATATGACTTCTTTTCCTTTAGGTAGATGCCCGGTGGGATTGCCGAATCAAATGGTAGTTCCACTTTTAGTTCTTCAATGAATGTCCATACTGTTTTCCATAGTAGTTTGAACAAACATATTTTAATCCTTTTTTTTCTAGGTCTTTGCAGGAGTGTTAATCTGCCACAAACTATTCTATTCTACTTTGAGGGAGAAGTCTATTTTATTCTTAAATATGCAGATTAAAGCTTACTCAGTTTATTTCATGACACATTGACTAGTTGCAACCTGCAGTTTATGAAATGCATAAAGGATAAATGTGTGAGACAAATCCAGGAGATGGGTAGAATTATCAGATTTTAGGAAGTGTTTAGTTGTCAAAGGGGAAGGAGATGGTGGAATGAAGAATGCGCTGATTTTTCTGACTCAGACATCCAGGTGGATAGGCAAGCCATTTACCAAGATGGAGTGATAAAACAGGAGAAAGATCTATTTTAGAGAATTGAGATTAAGTTTACTTTTGTACACATTGAGTTTGAGATACCTATATGACATCCAAGTGGAAATTTCTGATATGCAGAAAGAATCACTTATTTGGAACCCAAGAGAGAGATGGGAGCTGGAGCTGTGACTTTGTTGCTCATTAGTAGATAGGTAGAAGTTTTCACACCAATTTTGTACATTTTTTAGTTAATCACATCAATTCAGCTGACAAATGCTATTTTACTACCCATCAGGCTGGATCAAGTAAAAACAGGTACTCTGCTAGTTAGGCTAAACATTTTCTTTCTTTCTTTCTTTTTTTTTTTTTTTTTCTTTTTCTTAGACAGAGTCTCTGTCACCCAGGCTGGAGTGCAGTGGTGCGATCTCGGCTCACTGCAACCTCCACCTCCCGGATTCAAGCAATTCTCATGCCTCAGCCTCCAGAGTAGCTGGGATTACAGGTGCACACCACCATGTCTGGCTAATTTTTGTATTTTTTTTTTTTTAGTAGAGATGGGGTTTCACCATGTTGGCCAGGCTGGTCTCGAACTGACCTCAGGTGATCCCCCTGCCTCGGCCTCCCAAAGTGCTGGGATTATAGGTGTGAGCCACCACACCCGGCCTAAATCTTTTCTTTAAGGAAAATAAAACATCAGTGGTTGCCATATCATCTAAAAGCTACCATTTAGTTCTAATTCTATAGAACCACTAGGAAAATTAAAGGAATGTAGACATGAGTTAGGCAAATGAGGCCGGACTAGTTCCCGAGAGGCAAATATGATCAGGTTGCTGGCACTAAACTAAATCTGCAGAGTGGTAAGTCGGCCTCATCATCCACTGGCCAGCCACACCTAGGCTTCTTTGTAGGGCATTTAGGAATCTTACATCCAGAGGAAGGCAGTATGAAGAGATGATAAGGGAACTTATGGTTGAAGAAATTAAGTGTTTGGAACCTGAGAAAACTCAGGGCATTACCCTCAAACATCTAAATGACTGTCACGTGTGGGAGATTATGAGACTTGTTTTAGCAGGCTGTATTGGGGTTCTCTAGAGGGACAGAACTAGTACGAGAGAGATATATATATCTCCTATTTATTAAGTATTAAGTTTATTATTTATTAAGTATTTAAGTTTATTAAGTATTAACTTTTAATTATTAACTTAATTAACTCAATTAAGTATTGAGTTTATTAAGCATTAACTCACACAATCACAAGGTCCTACAATAGGCTGTCTGCAGGCTGAGGAGCAAGGACAGTCAGTCTGAGTCCCCAAACTGAAGAACTTGGGAGTCTGATGTTCAAGGGCAGGAAGCATCCAGCACGGGAGAAAGAGGTACGCTGGGAGGCTAGGCCAGTGTAGTCTTTTCATGTTTTTCTGCCTGCTTTATATTCCAGCCACCCTGGCAGCTGATTAGATGGTGCCCACCCAGATTAAGTGTGGGTCTGCCTTTCCTAACCCACTGTCTCAAATGTTAATATCCTTTGGCAACACCCTCACAGACACACCCAGGATCAATACTTTGTGTCTGTCAATCCAATCAAGCTGACAGTCAGTATTAACCATCACACAGGCTAAGTAAGTCCAGTGAGAAGTTGGAGGTAGAGGTTGCATCTTACTCATCTTTGTGTTTCCAGCATGTAGTAGAGTCTGGAACACATCAGAGGCTCAGCAGATGCTCATAAAGTTGAATCACATTGAACTTGAGCTAACACTAAAAAGCTTTCAGAGACACTCAAAACTACCTGACAAGAGACAGGGCTGCTTATACAGTGGTTTCCTTGTTGTTGGAGTTGTTCAGACATTGGACAACCATTCATGGGATGTTGTCATAGAAGGGATTTAAGTATTGAACTAAATCCCATTGTCTTAAAAGCTTCCTTTAACCTTAGCATCTGTGATCCAGTAACAATATGGAAGATAATGGATCAATTATTTGGGTGTTTGTTGGCCGTAATAGGGAGCAATAAAATAATGATCACAGCAGCGATCATATATTGAGCACCCACTATGTGCCAGACACTATGCTGAAAAATTTATATCAAGGATTGGCAAACTTGGCCTGTGGGCCAGCCTGTGGCTTCTTTTTGTGATGTTTTATTGGAACATAGTCTTACTCACATTGTCTGTGGCTGCTTTGGTGCTACAGTGGCAGAATTGAGTAGTTTTGACAGAGACTGATGACTCTGTCATCAGTATAAAGTATTTTACTATTTGAACCTTTACAGAAAAAGTTTGCTGACCCCTGATTTAGGTAAATATAACAACTCTGCATATTATACATATTAACTCATTAATCTTTACGTTAACTCTGTAAGGTAGATGGTGTCCCTTTTTACAGAAGAGGAAGCTCAAGCTCAGGGAGGCAAAGTAATAACTCTCAAGGTCAAATAACTTATAAGTGGTTTGGATTGGAACCAGGTGTGGCAGGCTCCAAAGTCCATGTTCTTTCTTATACTAGAAATAGAAGGTCTACCTCTCTCCTGAAATTGTACCATATATGAAAGCATGATTATATATGATATTTATTAAGACATTGCCTTTTTATAGCAGCAATCTTACACAAACTGTTGAAGTATAGGAAAACTTCACCAGTTCAGACCAGATTACTGTGTATTTACTACAGTTGAGAGTTATGTGATTCTTATTTGTTAAAGTAACAAGTTCAGAGTGTTTTCCTCTGAATAAGAATAGAGTCTACTAAGAAAATAATCAAAAGACTTTCAGCTTCTAGGTTCCTCTGTAATTTCATGCATTTTGAAGAACTTTCTGTTGTTTTGTAATATAGGGCCTACAGCATTATATAATTTTAAAAAATCCTATTCTTTGCAATGATTTATAATGCAAATATTTATTAATAATTGTGAGACTAATCTCTTTACAAACTAGTGAGATTTTGTGATAGTCTTAAAAAATGATGTAATTTGTTTATCTGAATTAATTTATTTAGGTTGTCCCATAAGCTTCCTGAAAAAAAAAATATTTTTCCAATTCTTTCCATCTTCTCCAAAGAGGATTACAGGTGTGAGCTACTGAGTCCATCCCTGATGATTTATTAATAATTATCATTGACTTTGAGATATGTATACATACATTTGAATAAAGATATATCCTGGGACCCTTCTTCAAACAAATAGTGAAGCCGCACTGAAGAGCAGATTTAGCAGAGAATAGCAGAAAGCACCGCACAAGGAGTCTGAAGACTTAGCTTCTAGTTCTGACTCCCACTTACTATCTATAAAATCTCAGATATCTACAATCTCTTTAGTAGAGCTTACCTCTTTCTTAACCATCTATTTTCTCATCTTCATAATGAAATAATAATAATATTTATCCTGTCAAATAAGATAGTAGGTACAATGATCTTTTAGAAACCACGAAGATAAAAATGATCAAGACATCTGGATATCAGGTGGTGGTATTAATAGTTTTGTTGTTGTGAGTTTATTTGTGTTACACAACAGATCTGGGGTGCCTGTTGCCAAGTGTGGGGGCAGAGCCAACTGCAATAAATGTGGAGTGTGCCTCTCTAGACTGTGGTACAGATACAGATGCGACTTCACTGCTCTTTTCCTAGGTAGATGGACTCTAGCTGGGGCTTTTTCTGGCTAGCCCAATACTCATCCAGCAGGCTCTACATCAGGATTTGGGGTGAACCTTGGCAGAGATTTAGCTTGTTTCTGAGTTAAAGGAACTGAAAGAAGCTGTGGGAAAGGTATGGGAGACTCTGGAAAAGGGATTGAAAAAATGAAGGTACTATGATATTAAGTCCTATGTTCATTGGTATTCCCAGAGTGTTGGGTATTGTTTTGAACTGTAAGGTGTTGTGAGGCACCTTTCTTTGGACAGTAAGTTTATTGTAAGAACTATCTTTCACAGAATTCCTGTTCATTACCATGGCAAAATCTCCTGCCCCCACTGCCACGTCTAACAGTATTTGGAGTAATCAAAGAGTAAGCAAGAGCCTGAAGGTTAATGTATTAAAATGATGTGATTCAGTGCCTTTGATGTTTGACTTTGTAATGCGGCATCTGGAGCACATACTATAAGCAGGAGGGTGAGGTGATGGCGACGGTTAACATGCAAGTGTGAACTGCTGAACCCTGAGAAGGTCTGTCTATTCTGGCATCAGTGGAGATACAGATCCTCAGAACCCAGGCGACTTGATGATGTTGTTGGAAAAATGGTAAGAAGCTAAGGAAACTGCGAATAAAATGGATTAGACAGGAAAATGAGACTGGAACACAGAGAATCTAGGATAGTGGAGATTGGAAGGGCCTCAGAATAAGGACCTGGAAGAAAGAGCACAAGCCTGCTCTAGGAAAACCTTGTGGCCAGGTGGTGGCTACACAGACATCTGGTTCAACCAGAAGTCAAAAGGCAGAGTATCTCGTATTCAAACAGAGGATCCAGCACCATCAACTGTTCAGAGTGCTTCTTTATCAGTCTTGGATCTTCAGATAAACTACAGCGAGAAGCCTTACCCCTATGCAGGAGGGCCTAGGGGAAGAGTTCATGCCCCTGACGGGTGAATGGTTTGAGGTATCTGGAAGGTCTGGTCTGGGCTTTAACCTGGTGCTTGCTAAAGGTGGGGTCCATACCTCAAAACTGTCATCTCTAGAAATGAGTTTGATTATAAGGGTCTGGAGGGAGGAGAGGAGCATGTTGAGGGGTGAAAGAATTCAACAGTTACTTGGATGCCGTCCTCAACCCTTGGATGATCAGCTATTACCTGAAAGCGTTAAAGTAACAGGAGGATCACTTGACTGTCGGTGAATCTTTCCCTTAGTCCTGTACTTTTTGTGCCTTGGGAGCTGTCTGCCCCGGGACTGATGTTTGAGGAGTATGGAGACACAGAGTGGCAGGGTGAGGAGAACAAAATGTCAAAATTGGGTGTAATGCTGGTTTCTCACTTATCAGACACATGACCCAGAGGAAGTTGCTTTATCCCTCTAATTGCTTTAGTTTCATCTATATGAAACTAATGCCTGTGAGACAGTAGTTTTGTAAAGAAGAAATTAGAATGTCTAGAAATGTCCTGTAAATGACCTGAATTAATGTATATGAGTCATAGAACTTTGCACAAAATGGATGTTTTTAAAAATGCCCTGGGAGTTGGCTTAACATCTAAAAATAAGTTAATGTAATGCACCACTTTAAGAGAATAAGAGACAAAAAACCCTACATGATCATTTCAATAGATGTGGAAAAGAATTGACAGAGTCCAACACCCTTCTGTAATAAAAATAATTAACAAACTAAGAATAGGAGGGAACTTCCTCAGCCTGAAAACCCAAAGTTAGGACCATACTTCACGGTGAAAGATTGGATGCTTTCACTCTATGATCAAGTACAATGCAAGGATGTCTGCTCCTGCCACTTCTCTTCAACATTGTACTAGAAGATCTAGCCAGGGCAATTAAGCTAGAAAAAGAAATGAAAGTCATCCATATTGGAAAGAAGAAGTGAAACTATCTCTATTTGCAGATGACATGATCTTGTATATATAAAACACTAAGGAATACACACATACAAAAACAAACTATTAGAACTAATAAGTTCAACAAAGCTGTGGGATATAAGGTCAATATATAAAAATGAATTTTGTTTCTATACACTAACACTGAAGAATCTGAAAATGAAATTTAAAAAACAACAATTAAGAAAGAAAAATACTTAGGAAAAAAGTGTAACACACGTACAGTGAAAACTACAAAACATCATTGAAAGAAATAAGACCTAAATGGAAAGACATCCCATGTTCATGGATTGGAAAACATAATGTTGTTAAGATGGCAGTGCTATCCAACCTGATCCAACAGATTCAATGCAATCCCTATCACAATTTCAGCTGTGTGTTGTAGTTGTTTTTACAGAAATTGACAAGCTGATTCTAAAATTAATATGAAAATGCAAAGACCCACAATAACCAAAACAATCTTGAAAAGGAACAAAGTTGGAGGCCTTACACTTCTCAATTTCAAAATTTACTACAAAGCTACAATAATCAAGATGGTGTGGTACTGGCATGAGGATATACATATAAGATCAAGAGAATAAAATTGAGAGTCCAAAAATAAACACATTATAATTGTATTATTTTTCTAGTTCTCTCATAATAACCAGAAATTTAGTGGCTGGAGACACAGATTTATTATCTTACAGTTCTGTAGGTCAGAGGTCTATCACAAGTCCCACCAGGCCAAAATTAAGGCACTGACAGGGCTGCATTCCTTTCTGTAGACTCTGGGTAGAATACATTTTCTTGCCTTTTTCAACTTCTAGAAGCAGCCTACATTCTTTGACTCATTGTTCCCTTCCTCTATTTTCAAAGTTAAGAGAGGCAAGTCAAGTTGTTCTCACATCACATCACTCTGACTTTTTCTGTAGTCACATTCCCTCTGACTCTGAATTCTTCTGTCTCTCTGTTTCACTTTTAGTGATGCTTATGATTACATTGGGCTCATCCAGATACTGCAGGATTATTTTCCTATATTAAGGTGGGCTAAATGGCAACCTTGATTCCATCTGCAACTTTAATTCTCCTTTGACATGTAACATATTACATCTGTAGATTCCACGAATTAGGATGTTGTGTGTGTGTAGGGGGTCACATTGTTCTGATTATTACAATGGCCAGTTGCGTTTTGACAAAGATGCCACGACAAGTCAATAGGGAAAGAATAGTCTTTTCAATAAATGGTGCTAGAACGACTAGATATACACATGTAAAAAAAATGAAGTTGGATTCCCTACCTCATACCACATATAAAAACTCAAAATGGATCAGGGACCTAAATGTAAGAACTAAAATGATAAAAATTCTTAGAAGAAAATGTAGGAGTAAATGTGACCTTGGGTTAGGCAATAGTTCCTTAGATATGCTACCAAAAGCACAAGCAACAAAAGAAAAAAGTTACATATTGGACTTCACCAAAATTAAAAAGACTTTTTGCTTCAAAGGACACCATCAAGAAAGTGAAAAGACAACCTACAGAATGGGAGAAAATATTTGCGAGAACTCGTATCCATTTGCAAAAAGACTTGTATCCAAAATATAAAAGAATTCTTAAAACTCAACAATAAGAAAACCCAATTTAAAAATGGGCAAAAGGTCTGAACAGATGCCTCACCAAAGAAGATATACAGATGGCAAATAAACATATGACAAGATGAAACATCATTTGTCATTAGAGAATTTTAAATGAAGAGATACCACTACACACCGATTAGAATGGCTAAAATACATACACACACACACACACACACACCAAACAAATACCAAATGCTGACAAGAATGTGGAGAAGCAGGAACTCTCTTTCACTGCTAGCAGAAACACCAACTGTTATATCCACTTTGGAAGACAGTTTGACAGTTTCTTACAAAATTAAACATAATCTTACCATATAACCCAGTAATTAAGCTCCTAGGTCTTTACTCAATTGGTTTGAAAATTTAAGTCCACTCAAAAACCTGCATATGAATGCTTAGAGTGGCAATTTATAATTGCTAAAAATTGGAAGCAACCAAATGTCCTTCAATAGGTGAATGGATAAACAAATTGTACATTTATACAAAGGAAAATTATTCAGCAGTAAAAAGAAATGGGCTATCAAGCCATAAAAAGACACAGAGTAAACTTAAATGTATATTTCTAAGTGAAAGAAATCAGTCTGAAAATACTACCTACTGAATGATTCCAATTATTTGACATTATGAAAAAGGCAAAACTATATAAAGACATTAAAAAGATTCGTGGTTGGCCCAGTGCAGTGGCTCATGCCTGTAATCCCAGCATTTAGGGAGGCTGAGGCAGGTGGATCATTTGAGGTCAGGAGTTTGAGACCAGCCTGGCCAACATGGTGAAACTCCGTCTCTACTAAAAATACAAAACTTAGCTGGGCTTGGTGGCAGACACCTGTAATTGCAGCTACTCAGGAGGCTGAGGCAGGAGAATTGCTTGAACCCATGAAGCGGAGGTTACAGTGAGCCTAGATTGTACCATTGCACTCCAGCCTGAGTAACAGACTGAGACTCTGTCTCAAAAAAAAAAAAAAAAAAAAAAAAAAAAAGATTTGTTGTTGCCAATGGTAGTAGGGGGGCAGGGGGAGGGTGTTGAATAGGTGATAGGTGAAGCATAGAGGATTTTTAGATGGTAAAACTATTTCCTATGATACTATAATGGTGGATGCATGACAATTGTTCACAATTGGATGGTGAATACTTGCAAGGTGAATTCTTTCACCGTGTTGGCAAAGCTGGTCTGGAACTCCTGACCTCAGGTGATTCACCTGCCTTTGCCTCCCAAACTGCTGGGATTATGGGCATGAGCCACTCCACCTGGCCTCCTTCTCCTTTTCCTTCTTCTCCTCCTCCTCCTCCTCCCGCTCTCCGTCCTTCTCCTACCCCTCTCCTTCCTCCTCCTCCTCCTTTTCTTATCCTTCTCCTTCTCCTCCTCCTCCTCCTTTCTCCTCCTTCTCCTCCTCCTCCTCCTTTGAGATGGGGTCTTGCTATGTTGCCCCATGATTAGCTATTTGACCCAATACCATTTATTGAATATTAATTTAATTTCTTCCTCCTCCTCCTCCTCCTCCTCCTCTGAGATAGGGTCTTGCTATATTGCCAAGGCAGATCTTGCACTCCTGGGCTCAAGTGATCCTCTTGCCTCAGCCTTTCAAATAGCTGGGACTACAGGTGCATGTCACGGCACCCAGCTTATTCATTCTTGGCTCACTTCTAACTTCATTTAGCTCATTTATCCAGTCAACATTCATTAAATTTGAACTTCATACTTGTTGCTAGGTGGTATATGGAAAAGTAAATATGTATTATCCTGCCATCAAGTTGCTTAGGGCCTTAGTGAAAAGCACACCGGGTGCCACCAAGATGCATACAAGTTTACACATAAGATTTTTTGGTGGGTCCTTTCTACACAATTTTCTCTGTAAGCCACCTGTTTCTCATAGCATATGAGAGAAAGGTCTGGCATATGACCTCTTATTCCTACTGTGAGGCACAGTAGAATTCTCGAAGACCAGCTGTGGTGTTGAATCACTGCCTATGAGGCTGTGCACATTAGTGGGAAAAGCACTAGATTTTGGAACTCAGGCACTTGGACTCCAGACCTGGAACACCTTGGGTAAGGCACTGCTTATTTGCAGGTTTGTTTCTGTACACGTGCAAACACACACACACCTAATTTAGGGTTCCTGATAGCTGACATCACAAATGACATCAGGGCTTGATGTGTAATTTGGAAAGGTGGAGAGTTTACCTATGTAACAAACCTGCACAGGTACCCCTGACCCTAAAATAAAAGTTAAAAAAAAGTTTCAGCAAGGTAAATAGCTCCAGCGGGGTAGCTACAAATAGTTCCCTGTGTGATGTAAAAATACTCAAAATACACATTCCTTCCCAAGATGCTCTGGCCTGAACAGCACATCTCTTCTACATTGAGGTGTCCATTCTGCTCACCTGCTTGGTGTCCTAAATTCTCACCCTCATTTGGACAATCTCTCTGGAAAACTTCAGTCATTCCCTTGATGGAGAAGAAGAACTTCATAGAAGCATAATCCAAATGGTCAAACATACAGTGTATAGCAAAAGATGTAATTTTAGGCTGGGTGTGGTGGCTTACGCCTATAATGCCAGCACTTTGGGAGGCTGAGGCCGGTGGATCACCTGAGGTCAGGAGTTCGAGACCAGCCTGACCAAAATGGCGAAACCTACTAAAAACACAAAAATTAGCCAGGCGTGATGGCAGGTGCTTATAATCCCATCCACTCGGGAGGCTGAGGCAGGAGAATAGCTTGAACCCAGGGGGCAGAGGTTGCAGTGAGCCAAGATGGCGCCATTGCACTCCAGCCTGGGTGACAAGAGTGAAACTCCATCTCAAAAAAAAAAAAAAAAAAGAAAGATGTAATTTCATAGGAGACTTTCAAAGAAGTTTGGTGGGCCAGGCATGCTAGCTCACACCTGTAATCCCAGCCCTTTGGGAGGCCAAGGCAGGCAGATCACTTGAGCCCAGGAGTTCGAGACCACAGTGACCAACGTGGCGAAATCCCATCTCTATAAAAAAATACAAGAATTAGCCGGACATGGTGGCGTGTCCCTGTAATCCCTGCTACTCAGGAGCCTGAGGTGGGAGGATCACCTCAGCCTGATGAGGTCAAGGCTGCAGTGAGCCGTGATTGTGCCACTGCACTCCAGCCTGGGTGACAGAGGAGATCCTGTCTCAAAAAAGAAAAGAAAAAGTTTGATGGCTAACAGGAAACTTCTCACATTTGTCCTGAATGACATAAACCAGAGGCCAAAGGTGAGAGTGGTGTACTTCAGTATTTCAGTGTTAGAGGTGCTAAAAAGAGCTTTGGGGAAGGGGCCATCTCTCAGCATTTAATATTTTTATTTAATTTTTGCATTTTAATGTATGCTTAATGTTAAATTTGATTTTGTTTTGGGCTAGATAATAGAATTAGAAAGCATTGATTTGCAGAATTTCAGAGCCCAAGGGGCCCTTTAGATCAAAGTCTACTTCCCTTCTCCTCACCCCTTCTCCTGTCCCTGCCATGTCCTTAACTAAGAGGAGGATCTTTTTTTAGAGAGAGAGAGATGAAAAGAAATCACAGGGGACAAGTCCAGGGTGACAAGATCCACCATCCATCACAGCTCCTAACTACAAACAGTTGGAGCCTTTCTCTTTACTCTGTGAGTTTTTTTTAATTAACCTTTTTTCATTTTTCCTACTTTAGAATTTCACATTATAGTCCTTTGTTCATTCTCCTCTTTTCTCTTGATAATGAAAATGGATATAATATGAACTTAAACTCACTTGCCCTGGGTCATTGCCAGTGCTTAATAAAAGTGTATTAGTATTTGTAGTAATGATAATAACCCACAGATAATGATGTCGCTAAAGACCAAAGGGTCCCCTTGCATGAGAAGCCCCCCCTTCTAGTCGCCTTGCTTTGCCGGATTTAACGGAGACCTTGACTGCTTCTGATAGTCATTGTCCCTTCTAAATTATCAAGGTTTCATGAAGACAAGCATTCTTCACTTAAGGGTTTTCCAGACTGTCTGATGTGCTGGGCTCTGTATAACCTTGTTCCTATGTCATCATATGTCATGCTGCCTCTTGGAAATTGTTCCCTGATGTTTGCGAAAATGAACTACTTACAGAAATTCCCTTTGTACACACACACACACACACACACACACACACACACCACTATTGGAAATGGTTACAGTCAGATAAGTGGGTCAGGGTTGTGAGGGGATTTGAAGCTGTGTTGTGAGGAGTGGTGAAAATAGTGGAGGTGGCCAGGCTTTGCAGGGAGAGACTGAGGAGGAGATGGGACAGGCGTCTTCAAAAATAGGAAGATGTGTGCAAGAGGAATTTGGCCTCTTCTGGGTAGACCCATATAGTATTAAAAAGACCAAATGCATGGGTATAATAAGTCTAGTTTGGCTCGATAGAAGGCAGACTTTCTTTTTAGCTGTCTGGGAAGGAAAGATGCTTGCCCTGGAAGTGGCAAGTTCTCCGTCCCTGGAGTGCTCACGCAGAAGCATCAGAGTCCCTCCACTGGGACTGCTGAGGAGGGGTTATAAGGATTAGGTGGTGTTGGAACTAAATTACTTGGGGTCACCTTCAAACCCTGAGAGGCAATAATTCTATGAGGTCCTTGACTTGAGAATCTAGGACCTGGATTTTAGGTTGTAGAGTGGAAGGAGTTTCTTGATAGAAAGTTCAAGCGTAGGATCAGGCTTTAGGAAGGAGAAATTAAGCCCTGACCAATGGCTCAGCATCTCCCGTGGCCCTATTCCAATATATGACTAGGTCTAAGCCTTAGGCAAACTGCAGCTAGACCCAGCCTTTGTAAACCATGGCCCTAAAAAGTAGGTGAAGAAGTTGAAGAGAAATGAGAAAAGAAACAGTAAGTCATCAAAGCCAAGAGTGGAGACCTTTGAAGGAGGGATAATTGGAAGTACTGGATGCTGCAGAGGACAAAGAGTCTAGGGAATGAGAAGAGGGCCTTGGATATGTCAAGGAGGAGCCAGGGGCAGTTTCTAGAATGTGGTAGGGGCAG
Source organism: Homo sapiens (assembly GCF_000001405.40). Classification (NCBI taxonomy): domain Eukaryota; kingdom Metazoa; phylum Chordata; class Mammalia; order Primates; family Hominidae; genus Homo; species Homo sapiens. Next base: position 36,697,621 of record NC_000009.12, read on the forward strand.
AAGCTTGGCCTCAGGAAGACAAGAGAATGGTGGGGATGTGGAGACAAGAAGCTCAGACCACATGCTCATGAATTTGGCTGCAAGAATAATAGGGTAGAGGCTAGACCAGTAAGACCTATGAATATCAAAGGCAGAAGGGAATGAGGATGAAGGTGAGGAGAAATTGCTTCACATTGTAGACAGAAAGTATGTTAGGTAGAGGAGAGAGGACTTCAGTACAGTATTTACAGTTGTAAAGTTCTTTCCAGGTCCATGATGCAGTTTGTTCTTTTAGATAGTGCATTAGTCCATTTTCACACTGCTATACAGAACTACCTGAGACTGGGTAATTTATAAAGAGGGGGCTTAATTGACTCACAGATCTGCATGGCTGGGGAGGCCTCAGGAAAGTTACAATCATGGCAGAAGATGAAGGGGAAGCAAAGCACATCTTCCATGGTGGCAGGAGAGAAAGAGAGTGGGAGTGCCACACTTTTAAAACATCAGATCTCATGAGAACTCACTCACTATCATGAGAACAGCATGGGGGAAATCGCCCCCATGATCCAATTACCTCCCACCAGGTCCCTCCCTCAACATGTGGGAATTACAATTTGAGATGAGATTTGGGTGAGGACACAGAGCCAAACCATATCATTCTGCCCTTTGCCCCTCCAAAATCTCACGTCTTTCTTACATTTCAAAACACAATGATACCTTCCCAACAGTCCCCCAAACTCTTAACTAATTTCAGCATTAACCCAAAAGTTCAAGTCCAAAGTCTCATCTGAGACAAGGGAAGTCTCTTCTGCCTATAAGCCTGTAAAATCAAAAGCAAGTTAGTTGCTTCTGAGATACAATGGGAGTGCAAACATTGGGTAAATGCTCGCATTCCAAATGGGAGAAATTGGCCAAAACAAAGGGGCTACAGGCCCCATGCAAGTCCAAAACCCAACAGGGCAGTCATTAAATCTTAAATATCCAAAATTCTCTCCTTTGACTCCATGTCTCACATCCAGGACACACTGATGCAAGAGGTGGGCTCCCAAGGCCTTGGGCAGATCCACCCCTGTGGCTCTGCAGGGTACAGCCCCTGCGGCTGATTTCACATGCTGGCATTGAGTGCCTGAGGCTTTTCCAGTTGCATGGTGCAAGCTTTCAGTGGATCTACCATTCTAGGGTCTGGAGGATGGTGGTCCTCTTCTCACAGCTCCACTAGGTAGTACCCCCGTGGGGACTCTGTGTGGGGGCTCCAACCCATATTTCCCCTCTGCATTGCCCTAGTAGAGGTTCCCCATGAGGGCTCCACTGCTGCAGCAGACTTCTGCCTAGACATCCAGGCATTTCCATACATCCTCTGAAATCTAGGCAGAGGTTCCCAAACCTTAACTATTATCTTCTGCACACCCACAGGCCTAACACCACGTGGAAGCTGCCAAGGCTTGGGGCTTGGACCCTGTGAAGCAGCTGCCTAAGCTGTACTTTGGCCCCTTTTAGCCATGGCTGGAACTGGAGTGGCTCGAACACAGGGCACCATGTTCTGAGGCTGCACAGAGCAGCGGGGCCCTGGCCCAGCACAGGAAACCATTTTTCCCTCCTAGGCCTCCAGGCCTGTGATAAAAGGGGCTGCCATGAAGATCTGAGCAGCCCCTCCCATCACAGGAGAAGTTTCCCTGGAGAAAATGCCCTGGAGATGTTTTCCCCATTGTCTTGGTTATTAACATTTGGCTCCTTGTTACTCATGCAAATTTCTGCAGCAGGCTTGACTTTCTTCCCTAGAAAATGGGTTTTTCTTTTCTACCACATGGTTAGGCTGCAAATTTTCAAAACTTTTACCCTCTACTTCCCTTTTAAACATAAGTTCCAACTTCAGACCATCTCTTTGTGAATGCATACGACTGTACATTTTCAGAAAAAGCCAGGTCACATCTTGAATGCTTTGCTGCTTAGAAGTTTCTTCTGCCAGATACCCTAAATCATCTCTCTCAAGTTCAAAGTTCCACAGGTCTCTAGGGCAGGGGCAAAATGCCATTACTGTCTTTGCTAAAGCATAGGTGTGACTTTTGCTCCAGTTCCCAATAAGTTACTCATCTCCATCTGAGACCGCCTCAGCCTGGACTTTATTGTCCATATCACTATCAGCATGTTGGCCAAAACCATTCAACAAGTCTCTAGGAAGTTCCAAACTTTCCCCCATCTTCCTGTCTTCTTCTGAGCCTTCCAAACTCTTCCAACCTCTGCCTGGTACCCAGTTCCAAAGTCAATTCCATATTTTCAAGTATTGTTATAGCAGTGCCCTACTTCTGGTACCAATTTTCTGTATGAGTCCGTTTTCACACTGCTATAAAGAACTACCTGAGACTGAGTAATTTATAAAGAAAAGAGGTTCAATTGACTCACAGTTCTGCATGGCTGGTGAGACCTCAGGAAACTTACAATCATGGCAGAACGTGAAGGGAAGCAAGGAACGTCTTATGTGGTGGCAGGAGGAAGGTGGGGGCAAGTGCCACACTTTTAAAGTATCAGATCTTGTGAGAACTCCCTTACTATCATGAGAACAGCATAGGGGAAATTTGCCCCCCATGATTCAATCACTTCCCACCAGATCCCTCCCTTGACACATGGGGATTAAAATTTGGGATGAGATTTGGGTGGGGACACAGAGTGAAACCATATCAGATAGTACCCTGCAGCCTTTGGGTATCAGATGCACAGACAGGCATCTGTTTCAGATGGGACTTGTTTTAAAGGTAAGGTGAGAAATCTCTAGGTTTTAGGGTGATCTTAGAGTGTGGCTGTGCAGGAAATGCTCAGAGGTGGAATCTCCAAGGGCACCTTTGACTTACTTGCTGACTCCGTGATCACTGTTTCTCTTCACAGCCTGACTCTGCTGACCGCCTCTTCCATCTGCATGGCTGCCTGCCTTTGATTTTACCCTCTTCAGATTTTCCCACCATTCCTACCACATCTCTCAGTCTGCTCTTCAGCTTTTTCCTCTGCCTTCCCCTTGATTCCAGGCTCTTACTTTGACCCCCTTCTCTTCATACTCTTCACATTTCTCTGGATGATCCCGGCATCTCAATGGCTTCTGTTGGGTCCCAAATCTGTATCTCTGGCCCAGACCTCTCTCCTGAGTCCCAAGTCCCTGTGTGCACAATTCCATTTGGATGTTCCATAGTCACCTAAAAGGCAACATTTCTAGAGTCAAACTACTATCCCCCCAAATCTACTTTCTGCATAGTCTCCATTTTCAGGGTGATATACATCCCAGGTTTCCTGGGATGGTCTCAGTTGAAGCCTGTTGTTCCCAGCATAATTATTAATAATTCTCTCTTTTACTCCAAAAGTGTCCTGGTTTGTATGATACATTGTACGGTCACTCCATCCATTTTGGACAATGGCATGACCACCCATTCAAAGCTCATGCCGGAAACTTCATGTTTATCCTAAACGCCCTCTTGCTTCCCTCCCACATTCTATACTGTTTGTCTCATTCCTGTAGGCTCTGAGCCCCTGGAGGGGAGGGGCAGTGTCTTGTTCACTCTGATGTTCCCCGTGCCAAGCATAGTCTTGCCTAAGAAGATGCTCAGTAGATGCTGAATAAAGGGCAAGAAGATGGAGTTAACTGATGGAATGAGAAGCCATGGAAAATTAGAGGGAAGGGTGGTCCTGTGGCCTAACTTCTCATCCTGCAGATGAGGAAATTGAGGCCTAGGGTGGAAAATGAACTTGACCCAGGTCAATGCCAGAGTCAGTATTAGACCCCAGGTCTCCAGTAACCTCTCCATGGCTCTTGTGTAGGTGGTTTAAGTCTTCTTCATTAAGTACAGGGACAGCTCAGCAGTCAGTTCTTATTAGGCCCTTGTGTGTATGTGCGTGTGTGCGTGCATGTGTGTGTGTGTGTGTGTGTGTGTCTCCTGGGGGTTTTGTGTGTGCCACAGAGGGGAAGAATAGATGTCCTTTCTTCCAACAATGTTCAAAGGAGCTGAGCAAACCTTTCAAGGCTTATATAAGAGACATTCCACCATTTTCTTTTTTTTTTTTTTTTTTCTGAATCAAGGTCTCACTTTATCACCCAGGCTAGAGTGCAGTGGCGCGAACACAGCTCACTGCAGCCTTGACTTCCTGAGCTCAAGTGATCCTCCCACCTTAGCCTCCCAAGTAGCTGGGACTACAGGCACGTGCCACCACACCCCACTAATTTTTGTATTATTATTATTATTATTTTTAGAGACGAGGTCTTGCTATGTTGCCCAGACTGGTCTCAAACTCCTGAGCTCAAGAGATCTGCCCATGTTGGCCTCACAAAATGCTGGGATTACAGGTGTTAGCCACCATGCCTGGCCTCCATCAGTTTTCTCTTGGAGATATTTTTATCTTCTTAGCATTGCCAGAAGGATTAAAACAAAATCTGATCTCACAGTTTCTCAGGTATTGTTTTTTTCTGATGTTGCTGTTGTTTTTAAACTAAAAGTCAGACGCCATGAAACATCCTCAGCGTGGCAGGTAAGTGGGAGGCTATGATATAATTTATTGTTCAGTCCTGACATTTGTGTTGGTGGACACAAGGAGGCTATTTGACTGCTTTAGTAGAATTCTCCCTGCCTTCTTTTAGTTCGTTTCCGATTCTTCTCTTAGGCTGGTCTTGGCTAATAAATAATTTGATTTTGAAAAATATCTTTCCCTTTTCTGAACCTTGTATTCTGAGTTCATAAAATGAGTAGGTTAGACCATACACTTCCCAGCTGCTTCCAGCCCACAATTCTGTCATATTAAGTTCCTCTCCCCATTGCTTGGAGAAGACTTAGACATCATATCCACAGGTTGAGAACCCCTAATCCCCAAACCCCAAATGCTCCCAAATCTGAAACTTTTTGAGCTCCAAAATAATGCTCAAGGGAAGTCCTCATCGGAACATTTCAGATTTCAGATTTTTGGATTAGGGATGCTCAACCGGTATGATGCAAATATTTCCAAATCTGAAAAAATTTGAAACACTTCTTGTCCCAAGCAGTTTGAGTAAGGGATACTAAACCTGTACCATATATATCTCTAATCTCTCTCTCTCCACATATATATATATACTATTACATCTGTGCTTCTGCTTTGTTCTTGGCCAGAACGAATATCTCTCCTTTCCTTACTCTTGATACTTAAATTCATCATTTCTTAAATGTCTAATCCTCTTTCTTTTCTAAACACTCTAATAAGCTTATTATTTCAACCATTTATATTTAACATTAAAGTTTAATCATGAAGTTGTTAACCATAGAAAATTATTAAATAAGTGAGTTTGGAATGAGCGTGGAACAGCTGAAAAAATGAGTGAATATTTCAAAATGAGCACTTTGGAAAAGAAATTTATGCATAGAAAACAATGGAGAATTACAATTAAGAGCTCTGGGGATCTCAAACTGATTTGTCCAGCTATTACACAGTCATTTCAATTTAAATTAAAATTGTAACTATTTTCTAGTCTACTAAAAATATGAGGTGTCACATTAAGAGTTTTAATGGTGCGTTCTCTGGGGAATGCAAAAATGCAAGACTGTAGCACATAAATAACTCTATATTGAAGAGTGGATAAATTCTCTGCCAAAAGTGAATATGATAAAAACAGAAATGACAGTGGATTATTTTATTCCCTCTAGTGAAGCGCAGCCCACACATTAGAGCCAAAAAACAGTTCACAGGGTGTCTAATTCCATATCACTTTGTCGGAGGTTATGAAAAGAGCAACACAAAAAAGTTTAGCTGGTTGACGAATTCAGGCATAAATGAGGCCATATATTTTGTTCCCAAAGTAAAATATTTTTTAGCTACAGAGAGTAGGTTGATGTTAATATTTGATATCCTTGATTCATAGAAAATTGGATTAGTCAAGGTTTTAACCACTGTAGAACACGTTTAAGGCAATCACACTTCAGGAGGAGAAAAAAAAAAAAGTCAAAAGCAGGAGGTGTGACTTCCAGGAATAGAATAGTAGGATAAACACTGGTGTGTGTGTAGGGGTGTGTGCGTGTGTGTGTGTGTGTGTGTGTGTGTGTGGTCATGTATGCTAGAATGGTTGGTAAGGGTAGGTGGAAGTTCTGATGATGGGACACAGAAAATTTGGAATTTTATTGTAATACAAGTGAATTAAGATGAAAGCATCGAGACATCCAGGTAAAAGCATCTGGACATCTGGAGAAAGGAAAGAGTTAATTGAAGAACCAGGAACAAGAGAGTTATTATAACTAAGCTTGACAGAGTTTCCTGGGAGCCAAAATAAAAAAGGAAATAAGTGGGTTTCATAATTCTTGTTGTCATGTCAATATTTGCCTACTTCTAAGCTCTTGGAGAAATTTGTTGTTTAGAGCAATGGTTCTCAAACTTTAGAATGATCTGGGAAGTTTAAAAAATTCGGATGCATGAGCCCCATCCCCAGAAATTGTTTAATTTGTCTAGGGTGGGGCATGTACATTTATGTATTTGAAAGACTCCTCAGGTGGGTGTGAGGCACAGCCAGGCCTGTGGCTCAGTGGTTTTATGGACAACGAATTAGTAATTGCTGTTCTGCAGAAGATGCAGAAACTCTTAATATAGCCAATTATCATATTGATTCTTAATACAAGAAGAGTATTGATTTGTATTTCAGTGGAGGTATTTCTAAAACAATTCAAATTCAGGTTTCCTGCCACAGGAAATTACAGGCATCTGTACTTTCAGCAATCCATTCCTGAAAATCAGACATTTTCTATAAAAATGCTGACTGGAGCCTATTTTCCATTATTTCAGATGGGAATAAAATACAATGTCATATGTCAACCCAAAACCTTTAACCAAATTTTCCTAAAAATATAATTACAGCATAATCAAATGCCTTTATATATGTTATAAACTATCACATTACAATGGAAAAATTACAACATCCCTTCTAGCATTAAATGATCAGTTGGGTTGTCAACAGATTTTTGTGTGCAGTGACAATGTCTCTTTTAGTGCCAGCCCCATCTGAGATGTGACGTTCAAAATTGTGCATGTCGATTCTGACAGTCTACTAATCGGAGTTGGAATATAAGGAGAATTTTTTCAGTCATTGTTTTGTTCATAATGTCACAGTGAGGTGTGGTGGTTTTTTTTTTTAAGATGGATTCTCACTTTGTCGCACAGGCTGGAGTGCAATGGCACGATCTTGGCTGACTGCAACTTCCACCTACCAGGTTCAAGCGATTCTCCTGCCTCAGCCTCCCGAGTAGCTTGGATTACAGGCGCCTGCCACCGTGCCCGGCTAATTTTTGTATTTTTAGTAGAGACAGGGTTTCACCATCTTGGCCAGGCTGGTCTTGAACTCCTGACCTCATGATCCACCTGCCTCAGCCTCCCAAACTGCTGGGATTACAGGCGTGAGCCACCACACCCGGCCGATATGTGGTTTTTTTGTAGATTCAGGGTGTACACATGCAGGTTAGTTACATGGAGGTATTGTATAACACTGAGGTTTGGGCTTCTAATGATCTTGTCACCTAAGTAGTGAACGTAGTACCTGATAGGTAGTTTTTCAAACTTTGCCTTCCTCCTTACCTCCCTGCTTTTGAAATCCCTTGTATTTATTGTTCCCATCTTTATGTCCATGTGCATCCAATGTTTAGCTCCCACCCATAAGTGAGAACATGTGATATTTGGTTTTCTGTTTCTGCATTAATTTGCTTAGGATAATGGCCTCCAGCTGCATCCATGTTACTGCAAAGGACATGATTTTGTTCTTTCTATGGCTGCATAGTGTTCCATAGTGTATATGCACCACAGTTTCTTTATCCAATCCACTGCTGATAGGCACCTGGATTGATTCCATGTCTCTGCTATTGTGTGGATAATGCTACAATAAACATATGAGTGCAAGTGTCTTTTTGGTAGAAGCATTTATTTTCCTTTGGGCATGAACCCAGTAAATGGGACTGCTGCGTCAAACGGTAACTCTATTTTTAGCTCTTTGAGAAATCTACAGTGAGTTTTTGAAGTCATAAATATAAATTTCCCCTTTTTGAATATTTGCTGAAATAATATATTGAAAGGTACATACATTCTATGAAATTTAAACTAAGATGCATTCTACCAAGAAAATGTTACACAGAAAGACATTCTGTATTTTAAAACTTCAAGATGCATGACCATGGTTGAGAGTTGAATTAGTAAGGATGTTCTTCGGGCTGCAGTAATAGAACATTCTCGTTAAAGTGGGTATTCATAGCCAGAAATCAATCCAGAGCTGCTGTTAAGTCCAGCAGCCTAACAATACAACCAAAGGCTAATGCCATTCCCACCTGCTTTATGTTTTACCACATTCGTGGCGTTGGTGATGTCTCCGCTCATGGTCACAGGATGGCTGCAGTAGCTCAGAGCACCACATCTGCTGTCAACAGAGTCCAAAAGCAGAAAGGGAGGGAGTTTGTATTTTTCTGTTTTCATGCTGCTGATAAAGACTTACTTGAGACTGGGTAATTCATAGAGATAAAGAGATTTCATGGACTCACAGTTCCACATGGCTGGGAAGGCCTCACAATTATGGCAGAAGGCAAAAGGCATGTCTTACATAGTGGCAGACAAGAGAGAATGAGAGCCAAATGAAAGGGGTTTCCCCTTATAAAACCATCAGATTGGCTGGGTGCAGTGGCTCACACCTGTAATCCCAGCACTTTGGGAAGCCGAGGTGGGTGGATCACATGAGGTTAGGAGTTCAAGACCAGCCTAGCCAACATGGCGAAACCCTGTCTCTACTAAAAATACAAAAAAATAGCCGGGCATGGTGGCGGGCACCTGTAATCCCAGCTACTCGGGAGGCTGAGGCAGGAGAATTACCTGAACCTGGGAGGTGGAGGTTGCACTGAGCCTACATCGTACCATTGCACTCCAGCCAAGTGAAACTCCGTCTCAAAAACAAAAACAAACCCATCAGGTCTCATGAGACTTATTCACTACAATGAGAACAGTATGGGAGAAACTGCCCCCATGCTTCAATTATCTCTCACCGAGTCCCTCCCACAACATGGGGGAATTATGGGAGCTACAATTCAAGATGAGATTTGGGTGGGGACACAGCCAAACAGTATCAGAACTCATCCTATAAGCCTCTCCTTATATCGGGAGCAAGGTTTGTCTTTCTCACAAGCCTTCAAGCAAAATTCTGACATGTCCCTAGCAGAAATGGGTTTCATGGCCATCCACAGCTATAAAGAAGGCTGGAAAGTAGTTACTGTGCATCTATAACCTCTATCATCATGCAAGGAAGATGGAGGAGAAGATAGGCCAGTGGAAAGGTCTACAGAGTCCATGCTCTATCATTTATGAGCTATGTGTTCTTGGCTAGGTATCTTACCTTCCATAAGTTGATAGGGTTTTCCAACAGAGCACTTTTGCCTGCATTTGAAGATATCACTTTTAAATGCTTGACTTGATTGAGAAAGAGAATATCTTTGGAGATTCTCAGGGCACCATGGCATATAAAAATCTCTAACAAGTTTTGCAGTAAAAAGAACAGTTTAACTGTGTTAAGTGCAGTGTTTCCAAAATGTATTTGACTACACAACCTTTTTTTTTTAAAAAATTGGAAACTTGTTAATATGCTGTGGACCCAATGTTCTATGGAGTTCTTCCAGAAACACAGCTGTGTTAGATTGAAATTTCTTGAAGATGGCAGCTCCATCTTTAAGTTTTCAGGAGTCTCAGTAGAGTTTCCAACTAACTGCTACTCCTTCAATCATAGGTTCAATCTCTCTTCCTCTGGGAAGACCTCTCCTCCATCCAAACAGGGTCAATATCCTGTCCTGACCTTGGTTTGGTCTGTATCCTGTCCACGTGTATCCTTTCTATCCTGTCCTCTTTTTTCATAACACCATAACTGCAATAAATTATTGAGTATAACTATAACTATATGTCATCTATCTTGCCAGATAGACTGTAAACTCCCTGACGGCAAGGGTAATGTCTGGTTCACTGCTTTGTCTCCAGTGTCTACCACAGTGGCTAGCATATAGTAGGTGCTCAATACATATTTTTGAATGAATGTCTCACACGTGATGGACTATAGAAATATTTGTGTAATGGACACATTTTGTTTTGTTCCCTAGCACCAAACCATCTTCTTCTAGGATTACCCGCTAATCCCCTATTTTATCTATATGGTGGGGTGTTTCCCACTAGTAATTGGTCCAGGAGTGGTTATTTGGGACAGTAAGCTGTCTCCTAGGGCTTTTAAAATTTGGGATAGAAGGAAGCTTAGATTTCTTTCTTCTCAGTGAATAGAAACATTAAGAGGCAAAGCTCAGGCACCATTGGTCACCATATTTCTTTATCTTTGAACCAGAGAACTAGAGAAGGCAGAGAGAGAGAGTGAGAGAGAGAGAGGATATAAATATCCAGCCAGAAAAGGGAAATGAAGAGAGTGTCCTGGCAAAGTCTGTACCCCTGGGTTTTGCACTGGGACCCTGCCATATTCCTGTTCATGGGTTCCACGAGCTTCTCTTTTATCCTTATAATAACTCTGTCTTCCGCCAGGTACGGTAGCTCACACCTGTAATCACAGCACTTTGGGAGGCTGAGGCGGGGTAGATCACTTGAGGTCAGGAGTTTGAGACTAGCCTGACCAACATGATGGAACCCCCATCTCTACTAAAAATACAAAATTAGCTGGGCATGGTGGTGCATGCCTGTAATCCCAGCTACTCAGGAGGCTGAGAAAGGATAATTGCTTGAACCCGGGAGGCGGAGGTTGCAGTGAGCCGAGATTGCACCATTGCACTCCAGCCAGGACAGCAAGAGTGAAACTCCGTCTCAAAACAAAACAAAACAAAACAAAACTCCATCTATCTCATTCAAGCTCATTCGAGTTGGTTTCCTGCTACCTGTGAATCCTAAGTAACACAATTTGCTAAATGAATTAATTATTTGGCATAAGTCAGATGGGAAAAGAAAGAGAACGTAGGGTCCTTGCATTCACCATTGTGTATAAAGCAGTGAGCAGAGGGACTGCGTTGAATTCAAACTTGGTGAACCAGGACTCAAGCAGAGCAAGCCAAATTCAAGAAGAGGAAACATTCAATCTATTTATGTACACGGTGGTTTTGGGGGTCAAATGGGTTAAGAAGCATGCATGTGCTTAAAAACTGAAATACAAAAAATTTTTACAATAAACCCAAATAGACATTCTTGGAGGAAAAAAGACTACTAAAATCCCAAACCACAGGCATTACCAAGAACCTGATGGCCAACATTCTGTAGCTGTCATCGTCCCCTCGAATGCCCAGACCTCTTCTGCCTTCCCCACGAAGAGCACTCAGCCCCACGCTGCCAAAGCACCTGGCCCATCTGCATTCTGCAGGTGTGTTCAAAGTCATTCAGCTTCTTGTTTCTTGTTTGCCCTACCTGAAGACACTCAGGCTGTGTGAAGGACACCAGCAGGCCACTGTAGGGTGACTCTTATGATTGAATAATGCATGAACTCAGCAGTGGCCGGGTGGGAGCCTCCCCAAGTGGGTGGTGGGTTGAGGACAGGGTCTGGCCTCCATCTGTGGGGACCTGGCTTTCCAGCCGTGGGATCTTTCAGATTGATGGCTCAGTCCATATGGAAGAAGTACCTTTAGTATGTTTTCTTAAATGTTTCTTAGCTGGGCTGGAAGGCAGTTTGGATTGACAAATTAGACAATCGTGCTTAACAGTTTCACAGGATGCTCATGTCCCGTTAATCTCATAGGGGCCTCACTATAGCTCTGGTGATACAGGGATCATGGTTGTTATCTATCATCTGTTGACAGGGAAACTGAGACCCTAAGAACATATGACTTGCCCATGAGAAGATTAATCTTCTGGGTTGACTTAAAAATAATACTCCTAGATTAACTGAATTCACAAGATGTTCTGTTCTTAAGGCAAGTTGGAATTTAAGAATTATTTCTCTAGAAAAAGTTTGGTATTCTTGGCCAGGCGCAGTGGCTCACACCTGTAATCCCAGTACTTTGGGAGGCCGAGGCGGGTGGATCACCTGAGGTCAAGAGTTCGAGACCAGCTTGGCCAACATGGCGAAACCCCATCTCTACTAAAAATACAAAAATTAGCCAGGCATGGTGGCAGGCGCTTGTAATTCCAGCTACTTGGGAGACTGAGGTTAGAGAATCACTTGAACCCGGGAGGTGGAGGTTGCAGTGAGCCAAGATCATGTCACTGCACTCCAGCCTGGGTGACAGAGCAAGACTCTGTCTAAAAAAAAAAAAAAAGAGAGAGAAAGTGTGATATTCTAATTTCCAAACCTGTCTGAACCAAAATAAACTAGAAAGATTTTAAAAAAGACAAAATGCTGGAATCCATTTCTATAGATTCTGATTTAACCCGGGGCAAGGTCTGGGAATCTGTATTCCTAGAAATTTCCCCAGGGGTTCCTGAGGAGTTGTAAGATGTGGAAACCACTGTTGGATTGAAGGAAGGCCTGGTGTGGGGGTCAGGCTGCCTGCATCCGGTCTTGGCATCACCACCAACTCCTGGGGCCTCACTTTCTCCATTCATACAATAAAGAGACTGGTTTAGAATAGATGATCTCAAAAAAATCTCTGCAAATCCTTACATTCTATATGATCTTTTAAAAGTTGCCCATACAGGGCTGGGCTTTGCAGAGCTCTGGTCCCTAAAGGCTCTAGAACAAAGAGAACCTTGATAAAAGTGTCGGAGCTGATGTTGTTGGTTGTATTCTCAACATCTGTTCTCTCTTCCCCCCACCTAATAAAATTCCAGTTTTGTGCTGATATCCCTTCCTCTCCCATGCAGTCATGTGCTTGGGAGGAAATGGACGTGCCTTTATTATATAAGCCAATCAGAATAATTCCATTTTCCCAGTCGTGGTGCTTGATCATGGGCATGTGACACATTTCTGGCCAAAGAAAATTGAGGGAAGGTTTGTTAGGGGCTTCTGGGAAAGGAGGGTCCTCGCTGTTCTGGAGAGCTTCTGGAAGTGACACTCTCTCTATCAATGGATGTAAACAGGGAAGCCGACAGCCCTGATTCTCTTGGCAGCCATCTTGCAACCAGCTTTCTGATGCAGCTCACTGTTGACTGCAGTGCAGAATGATAGCCCATCAGTCAGGATGATTCCCATTGGCTGCTTAACAAACAAACCCCAAATCTCAATGCCTTACAACAGGGTTTATTACTTGATCTTGTAAACCCCAACTAGGAGTCTGGAAAAAAACTTGCACGAGGTTCTAGTGAATGGTGTTCCCCCAAGACTAATATGCTCAAGTTCTAATCCCCAGAGCTTCAGAAAGTGAGGTATTGGAGATACGGTCTTTAAAGGGGTGATTAAGTTAGTATGAGGCCATTAGGGTAGGCCCTGATCCAGTCTGACTGGTGTCCTTCTAAGAAGAGGAAATTATGACACACAAAGAGACACCAGGGACATACACACACAGAGGAAAAGACTCTGAGGACAAAGCGAGAAGGTAGCCATGTGCAAGACAAGGCAAAACCAAACTGCAGACGTTTTGATCTTTGGGCTTCTACCCTCCAGGCCACTAGGGAAGAAATGTGTTATTTAAACCACACAGTCTGTGGTATTTTGTTATGGCAGCCCTGGCAACCGAACACGTGGTAATTTAGGGCATTACCTTCCTCCAGATGGGTGGTTCTGCAATCCCCTTGGACCTTGGGGTCCTCTGGATCTGGTTGGCAGATGAGGGAAGGCACAATGGAGACGTGCGTGTGGGTGGTCTCTGCACACCAGGCTTGGAGGTGATGCCCTTGTACCAACATTCTATTAGTTAGAACTGAGTCACATGGCCACATCTACCTGCAAGGGAGGCTGGTGCTCTGGAAGGTGTGTGCTCTGGAAAAAGAGGAAATCGGTTAGTGAGTATCCTATTTCCAACAGACAGAGAAAGCTCTTGAATATTTGATGGCAAGGCTGACCCTCCAAATCCATCTACCCAGGAGTCTGCTGTACTTCTGACTTCCAGTTATGGGATCCAATCAATGTCCTCATTGCAGAGGCCAGCTTGGGCTGCTGTTCCCGTTCATTACAGCTGAACACATCTTAACTGATGCAGGTGCCAGCTTTCTCTTTCCTCCTCCTCCCCGCTGGCCAGAATTGCTTTCATGGCAACATTGCAGGACTAGGAGATGAGTTAGGGGCAGGGCTTTCGCTCGGAGTGAAAAGCAGACGTTGTCATTCTAGGTAAAGAGGATCTGGGCCCTTCTCTCCTGATGAAGTCGTGGGACAGAGAGTGGTGTCCTGTAAGATGATTCTTAAATCTGATATTATAAGGCCAAACACATAGAACTTAATTGACCAATTTAAAACCTTATCTTCTATACCTGTATATCTCTCTTCTACAAATCCCAATATCTGGCATGTCATAGTTAACAAATATTTGTAAAATGAATGAACAAATGAATAAATGAAGGCTTTCCTTGACTGCTTTCAACCCCATCTTCCACCTCATCTTTATTTTTTCATTTTTTATTTTATTATTTTATTTTTTGAGACAAGGTCTCGCTCTGCCGCCCCAGGCTGGAGTGCAATGGTGTGATCTCAGCTCACTGCAACCTCCACCTCCTGGATTCGAGCGATTCTCCTGCCTCAGCCACTGGAGTAGCTGGGATTACAGGCATGTGCCACCACCACGCCTAGCTAATTTTTTGTGTTTTTAGTAGAGATGGGGTTTCACCATGTTGGCCAGGCTGTCTTGAACTCCTGGCCTCAAGTGATCTGCCCGCCTCAGCCTCCCAAAGTGCTGGGATTACAGGCGTGAGGCACTGTACCCAGCCCACCTCCTCTTCTATTCCTCCCCTTCACATGTCCTCCACTCCTGCCAAATGGGTTATGTGTGTCCTGCTCACTAGGGTCTTTATCTTTGTCTACATTCTTTCCTCTGCTTGGAGAGCCTTTCCTCTGTCTCTTTCTGGCCCAATCTTGCCTGTTCTCACCCCAGCGAAGGGGCCTGCTTTTCATGAACAGTGCCAGAGCCTTCCTACCACGCTCCATCTCTCCTTCCCCATCTCTGCCTCTTCCCTCTCCTACGCCACTTGGGCAGTTCTGCAGGCTCTTGTGGTTCTTTGTGCTCTTTCTGCATGTGTCTGTTTCCTGTAGTAGAATGAAAACTCCTTGAGGGCAGGCATGGCCAGATTCCCCACACATCCTACAGCCTAGGACCTTGTTCTTTGCAGAGGAGGGCTCAGTGACTGCTTCTTGGAATTGAAAGAAGCAGGTGGACTGACATACCTCATCCTGTAGAAAATAACCAAATAGCCTGAGCTGCTGAATGCAATGTTTGCCATTTGAGCAGATGATTCCAAATGTCTTGCCTGCTCTCCTTTTCCTATTAATTTTTTTTTACTGTGGTAAAAAGTATATAACATAGAATTTGTGGTTTTAACCATTTTTAAATATACAATTTAATGGCATTAAGTACATTCACAAAGTTGTACAACCATTATCTTTGTCTGTTTCCAGAACTTTAAAATCTTTTCCTACAGAAACTCTATATTCATCAAATGATGACTTCCCATTCTCCCCTCCTCCCAGCTCCTGGTAACCACCACCCCACCTTCTGTCTCTATGACTTTGACAACTCTAGATGCCTCATGTAAGTGGAATCATGCAGTATTTGTTCTTTTGTGTCTGACTTATTTTACTTAGAATAATGTTTTCAAGGTTCACCCATGTGGTAGCATATATCAGAATTTCCTTCCTTTTTAAGGCTGTATAGTATTCCAGTGTACGTATATACTACATTTTGTTCATCCATTTGTCCATTTGTACACACTTGGGTTGTGTCCGCCTTTTGGATATTGTGAAGAATGCTGCTATAAACACTGGCATACAAGTATCTGTTTGAGTCCTGCTTTCAATTCTTTTGGGTAAACACCTAGGAGTGGAATTGCTGGATCATACGGTAAGTCTTCTGAACTTCTTAGGGAAGTGCCATACTGTTTTCCATAGCAGCGACACCATTTCACATTCCCACCATCCCTTTCCTATTTTTAGGCCAGAATTCATCCTCTGCCACAGCTCTCCAGAATCTCCCATTCATCTACACTCCCCAAACAGCCACCCTGTGTACAAAGCGGATGCGCCTGTCCCACTTATTAGAGAAAAGAAGTTGCATTAATAGTTTAAAGTGTGGTGTTATAGCTGGCTCTGGCAGCAGGTGATTGATGGCTTCCATTACACCCCATTAGATATTTTATTCTTGTTAAATGAAGAGCAGCCAACTTTGTCAAGTATTTTTAGTTCCCTCTGGTCTTATTGGTCCGATCTATTCTTCAGGATGGCCTGTAAATGGCCACATATGGCTGCGTGTCTGCAGGACGGATGGCCGTGCAGCTGGTGTTCATTGGCCACCAATTTACCCCGGCCCCCTTCATTGTGAGCCTGACAGCGCCGGGAAGCCTTGTAGATCTAACCAAATATATCTATTTTCTAATTGTCTATTTATCACCTTCTGGGGATTTGTGGGCCTCCCATCTGAAGGCAAAGGGGGGATGGCCTTGAACAATGATCCTTGTCAAGGCTCTCGCTCGCTCTAAATTAGGGCCTAGTTGCTAAATAACTAATTTAGTCCTGCTATCAAGCTGAAAAAGTGGGTATTCAGCGCAAAGTGCCAGCTGGGGAATTGATTATGTCTTCTCTCAGCGAGTGTGATAAACCTGCTGCCGAGCCACTGCGGAAGGCCGGAGACGGCTCCCCGGGGGCGGCGGCATTTCATAACGGAGAATTGGCAGAGGGGCCAGGTTCACTCCCTGCGTGGCAGCTGAAGTCTGGGGCACCAGGTCTGCCCGCCACGGCGCCCATGGGAGTCTTCCCTCACGGCACCCCCCTGGTTGGTGGCTTCTGCTTAGAGCTGTGGGGACGTGCGCATCTGTCAGAGAAGGGGACGAAGGTGAGAACCGGGGAGGGGAGAGGAAGGTCATCCTGACAGCCCCAATTTCCAATTAGAGTGAGATTATTGAAGGTGGCCCAGGCTCAGGGTGGGGGAAGTGGCAGGAAATAAATGGGAATAGGAGGTACTTAGGAAAATGTATTAGTAACAACTCCCAGATTCTGAGCAGAGAAGGAGGGGTAGCTGAAAATAGAGAGTTAAGGTTTACTGCTTGAGAAATCTAATCATGACAACAACAACCCTTATTTACTCAGCCCTCCCCTCCACCAGGCACCGGGCCAGCCACCTCCAGACCCGGGATCTCCTGGAATCCTCTCAATATCCAGGCAGATTGGGGTTTCCACCCCAATTTGTACTTGGAGAAAAGGAATTTCAGAAACTTCACCTAATCAACTCGTCTAAGGCTGAACTCTGCCTGGAAATATCTTCCTCACTCAAAATCTTTTAATGCCTCCATCATTCCTTTGTTCAACTGATTTTCATCACATGCTCTTCTGAATGCTAAGGGCTGGGGCAGTGAATTGGGCAGACAAGGCCCTGCCTTCATGGACCTGGTGTTCTAGTGGGGGAGGCAGACCAAGCCAGTGGTTCTCAACACAGTTGGACCCTGTGGAGAAATAAAAGGAAAGAAATTTTTAAAAATATGGATTTCAATATGCAAATGTTTGGTCGTAACTACATGAGAAAGCACGGTGAAGAACTCAGGCATTTACACTTATTTATATTGAGTGTTTGAATGTAAGAAGAAAGATAATATCCTACGGAATGTTGATGACATTTTCTCTTTATCTTTGACATTTTGAAATAAGGGCTAAAAAAAGTACATTGGTAAATATACTTAGAATTGCCTTCAATGTGACAGACACAGATGCAGACCGATAGAGGGAGAGAATCAGTGACTCAAATACCATGGTATTTCTTCATTTTCTGAAATGACAAAACTCTGAGTTGAAGGAAGTAAAATAATCTTAAAAAAAAAAAAAAAAGAAAAAGAAAAACTGAGCCAGGCAGGGTGGCATGCACCTGTAGATCCACTACTCAGGAGGTTGAAACAGGAGGATCACTAGAGGCTAGGAGTTTAAGATCAGCATGGACAGCATAGCAAGACCCGTCTCTAGAAAACAAAACAGAACGAAACTAAAAAACTAAATGTTGGTTACATTCCTGGAAAAGTCAGTGTAAATTGAACACAATCCATGCCTTGCAGGATGTCTAGTATCCCAGTCGCCCTCTCCCTCCCAATCACTGTAACAGCCAAAATACAACTGAACAAACAAGAAAATAATGACACAGTGACTACAATGATCAAAACAAAACTGGCTGACAGGATTGAGAGAAGACAAGGGGCTACAGTGCATTGAGAAGTCAAAGTTTCTGAATTGTGTTACGTGGTCCATTTAAACCCAGATGCTCCTGGGGAGGAAAAGACATAAGCATCCTTTGGAGTATTCATTTCTCCATGATAAAAAAAAGGAAAGTCAGGAATCTGGTTGGTTTGGAAGCCCAGAAGACTTGGATTGGATGCTGCTCTACCAGCTACCAGGTGACCTTGGGCAACCCACTTTTTCTTTGTGAGCCTCAGTTTTCTCATCTGTCAAATGAGGAGAGTGATTATTACATTGTTTTCCCTTTAAGTTAATAAGAAATCCAAAGCGATGGGAACAAGTGCTTTAATCACCATAAAATTCAAAGTGGACTTTGTATTTGTAATGGGAAAAATGAAAACTCAAAAGCCTCCAACAAAGGGAGTGGTTTTTAAAAAGCATGGCACAACCAATTCTACTGAACATTATGTAATCATTAAAATGATGTGAAATAATAGTTAATGCCATAGAAAGATGTTCATGGAGTGTTAGGTCAGAAAAGCAAGTTGCAAAATAATATGGAAAATATGAACGTATGATTGTAACCAAAAGAGTGAACAAATGAAACACCAGCCAACAACACAGAAAGAATTAGAAGAATTTATACCAAAAAAATAACTGAAGTCATCTCTGGGAATTAGAGTTGATTGTAGTGGTTTTTGCTCCTCTGTAAAATGAACTGTATCTTGTTTATAATAAGAGAAACAAGCCATGGACATAATTTTTAAGATGCTTGTCCCATGCTGACACCCTTGCTATAGTCACTGGCGCTGTGTCTCGGTGGGTGGCTAGTTTAGAACTAAAGCTTATCTTCTTTCTTGCAATTTTGCATGTGCAAAGATAAACAGTGTGGTCACTTGCTGTCCAGGGAAAGCTGTGTCCTCCCAAGGAGAGATTGGTTCTCTTTGTATATTACATTCTTGTATTAGTCTGTTTTCACACTGCTATAAAGAAATACCTGAGACTGGGTAATTTATAAACAAAAGAGGTTTAACTGACTCACAGTTCTGTATGGCTGGGGAGGCCTCAGGAAACTTGCAATCATGACGGAAGGGGAAGAAGGCATATCTTACATGGTGGCAGGTGAGAGAGAGAGAGAGAATGTGAAGGAAGAACTGTTAAACACTTATAAAACCATCAGATCGCATGAGAACTCACTCACTATTATGAGAACAGCGTGGGGGAAACTGCCCCCATGATCCCTTCACCTCCTCTCAGGTCCCTCCCTCAACTCCTCGGGATTACAATTCAGATTACAATTCAAGATGAGATTTGGGTGGGGACACAGAGCCAAACCATATCAGTTCTCTACCCTCAGCATATGGGTCACCTGGCTCCAGGTTCTTACTGGCAGTGTGTAAGATATACTGGTTTCTGGGCTAAGAACTATTATTTTAATCCACATGACACCCTATGAGGCAGGCATTATCATCCCAATTTTATAGGCACAAAAGTGAAGCCCAGAAGGATTAAATGACTTGCTACTGATCATGTGTCTTCTAAGTAGAAGAACAAAGATTTAAACTGGGATGTCTAACTCCAAAGCTAGCTCTGAGTCACTGGGCAAAAGTTTGTAACCACCAGGGAGACTAATTATTGGCTGGGTTTTCATGTCTCTATAAATGCTGTTGAAAAATATCTAGAGCTTTAATCTCCTCATGGCTAAATGCACATAAACACCCACCTCACGGCCTGGCTGGGAGACTTAGCAGGGTGGCAGCAGAGAAGCCTTGGTGCACTGTTTGTACAGACGTTGCACCAGGTCAACGTGGCTTCCTTTCCCTGGCTGGGGACTGGGTAGGGATTACAGCCCTTACCACTGGGCTCTCTCTCTGCCCAAACTGGAATCCAGTACATGGATAGGTCAGTCAGGAGAGATTCCAATGAAGGACACTGAGGACCCTCAAGGGCAGCCCTCCATAAACCTCAACCTGGGAGAGGGGCTCTTGAATTTAGCCAAAGACTTCAACTTTCAACTTCATCCACTCACCCATTATGTCCCAAAAAAGAGGGATTTACCTTCCATTCACGTCCTTACCAAATCCCTCCTGTTACAGACCTTACTCTCAATCACTTAATTTTGACCCACAAAGCACTATTTGGGAACAGTGTATTAGTCCAAAGTAACTTCAATCGATCCTATGTTTCAAATGCTTATAAAGGTCACTTACCGGAGCAAAAATGGAGATGAAAACACGAAGCATAGATTTAGTCATTTTTCCTTATGATTGCAAGTGTTGGATGTTGTAAACAAGCCTTTTAACGATCCCTTTAAAAAACAATACACTAAGTGGTTCGTTTGCAGAGCTCGTGAATAGCGAATGGGTACTTGGGGCTAGGAGTATCATTTCCAGTGACAGCATCATCCACGATGCAAAACGTCCTGTATCTTAAATGACTTAGATGGAAGTGAAGATGATGTGCTCCGGAAAGCTGTGCTAGATGATTCGAGAAGTGGCTTTTAGTGATGACAAGGATACTAATGTCAAAGATGTACATGAGGAGTGAATACAATTGGTTCATGAATTAAATGTGAACATGGAAAAAAAGCAATGTTTCTAAATATACTTGTGATTAGCCAAAGAGTTTATATTCGTATTTTAACTTCTGTTTAACACATTAATTTATGACTACATTGGTGTGTTAACGTATTTCATGTGAGTGAATTTAAATGTATGTATAACTGAAATTTTAAATTAATTAAATATTTTAAGTAGAACTTTGATTATCTCATCTATATTTTTAAAAGTTTATACATGCAAGTTGATCAAAAGCTTTGTTCTGGACCTTTCCATTGGGAAAAGGCAGATCTCTCTATGCTTGGGGTTGTCACATGGTTAGGCATGTTTACTGTAGGCCTACTATGTACCAGGTGTGGTACTAGCTGCACAGTGAGGGAGCCTGGGTGAAGGGGAAACCAGCTCAAACCACCACCTGGGTCTCCTGGGGCTTGTGTGGGAAGAGGCCTGATTGAACCCCTTCGTTTGCCTGACAGGGAGATTGCTGGGGCCTAAAGGGAGGTAAGCACTTGCCCAAGGTTACACAGAAGAAAACCCAAGTTCTTCAGCAAGGAAAAGAATGACAGCAAACTTCCAGGCATATCTGGTCTGGTAGCCAAAGACCATCTTTCTCAGATAGCAATGTCTCTACCTCTGAGCCTGAGCAGGGTCTAAAGAGAAGCAAAGAACAAACACATCCAAAAGAGAATATGTTTTTTTTTTCTGTGCAGAGGATGCCTCCAGTTGCTGGGGTAGGCTAGTGTTGAAAATGGAGTTGACAACATCAAGTGGGGCTAACCATTTTTGCTCAATGCAGCCTAAAACAATTTTGAAAATCTATGTCCCTTCTTGAACATTTAAATTGATGTTTAGAATATTTTATAACAATTTAAAATAATTATAAAGGAAGTAATGTCTGGCATATAATAAATATAGACATTGTGAGATAAAACTCTTGCATTTCTGTTTTAAATGTGTCCAATAAAATACAGAGATCATAACAATTTGATACCCACAGTCATCCTTTTAAAAAATACACGAATGAGATCTTATTTAACAGTAGGAAATTGTATTTCCAATCCACTTCCCCCACAGAATTTTATCCTAATGTAATGTATTTTTATGCTTGAAAGTCTTTTATTGATTTTCCTATCATACTTCTCCACAACAAAAAGATGTATATAAATTGAACTTTTTATTTCCTATGAATGCAAGCCTCTAAGTATTAAAAATTCTTTTGGATTGAGTTATCATTTCAACTATTAGTAATACAAACTTGATTAAAATAAGATGGATGTACTGCAAATTTTAATGAATAATTATTAAACAGTTAAATTTTGTTGAGAATGTTTCTCTTAATAATATGGATGGGATCAGAATCTTGTCATACAGCCAGGAAGGCTGTGCACTACAAAACTCCAGAAAGTCATTCACATCGGCTATGATGTAAATAGCAACCCCTGGAGTATTGCAGTGGACAACCTGCACTGCTGTTTGTGGAGGCCCTGGATTTGGGGAGTCGTGGTTATAATGATTAAAGGTGACATTGAGAACAACATTTGTGGAATCGTCCCTTTATTTGACCCCAAAAGTTTTGACTCAACAGGACAATGCACAGTAATAAGATTCAGTGTGAAAAAGACATAAAGTACAAAGAGGAGTCTCTTTGTACCATAAAAGAAGGTGATTACGGATGGGGAGGTGGGAGTAGAAAACTGGCATGATGTTTCTACCACAGGCAGATCAGTTTTAGGAAAGAGTTGATATGGAGGTTGAGAACTAGGAAATTAATTCCTTTAAAGTTATCTGTGCTAGGAATCCCTTGGAAAGTATAGGACCGTGAACCTCTGGAACCACTCCACATCCAGGTGACAGCGATGGTTGAGCTTTCCGCGGTGCTGACTGGACCGAAGGCTTCCCACCATTAATTAGCCAGAGCCTCTGCCCCTTGGTCTTGGCGGGCTCTCTCAGCCGAGACCCCAAATCCACAGAGCCCACCACAAAGCCCGACCCTAATTGAGGGCCTGGTAGATACCACACCCCAGACTAAGGAAGAGCATAATACTAGTGCCCTCTTGTTTAGAAGTAATTGCCAAGCAATAGTCTCAGCATTTTACTAAACTCATTTAATCCTCCCTGAAAAACATAAGATAGGTACTATTATAACCATTCTGCAGATGACGAAACAGAGGCCAGCAGATATTAAATAACTTGCCCAAAGTCAAACAAGTGTATGTGGAGAAGGAGGCTTCCAAACCAAGCCTGGGTCAGCTTAGCTCTGAAGCTTGAGCCACTTTCTATCTCACCACGTCCCTTTAAAACAGGATGGAGAGGCGGGGCGCGGTGGCTCACGCCTGTAATCCCAGCACTTTGGGAGGCCAAGGCTGGCAGATCACGAGGTCAAGAGATCGAGACCATCCTGGCCAACATGGTGAAACCTCATCTCTACTAAAAATACAAAAATTAGCTGGGCGTGGTGGTGCATGCCTATAGTCGTAACTACTCAGGAGGCTGAGGCAGGAGAATCGCTTGAACCTGGGAGGCGGAGGTTGCAGTGAATCTAGATCACACCACTGCACTCCAGCCTGGTGACATAGTGAGACTCTGTCTCGAAACAAAACAAAATGAAACAAACAAAACAGGATTGAGAATGAAGCTACTGTATTTATGGGCCTACTACGAGCCAGGTACTTTGCACATCGTCAAATTTAAATCCCACTCAAGGCTGGGCATGGTGGCTTATGCCTGTAATCCCAGCACTTTGGGAGGCTAAGGCAGGCAGATCCCCTGAGGTCGGGAGTTCAAGACCAGCCTGGCCAACATGGCGAAAAATCGTCTCTACAAAAAAATACAAAATTAGGCCTGGCGTGGTGGCTTATGCCTGTAATCGCAGCACTTTGGGAGGCCGAGGCAGGTGGATTACCTGAGGTCAGGAGTTTGAAACCAGCCTGGCCAACATGGTGAAACCTTGTCTCTACTAAAAGTACAAAAATTAGCTGGGCATGGTGGCGCATGCCTGTAGTCCCAGCTACTCGGGAGGCTGAGGCAGGAGAATTGCTTGAACCCGGGAGGTGGAGGCTGCAGTGAGCCGAGATCATCCCACTGCACTCCAACCTGGGTGGCAAAGCAAGACTCTGTCTCAAAAAAAAAAAAAAAAAAAAAATTAGCCAGGCGTGGTGGCGTGTGCCTGTAATCCTAGCTACTTGGGAGGCCGCGGCAGGAGAATCACTTGAACCTGGGAGGGGGAGGTTGCAGTGAGCTGAGATGGCACTGCTGCATTCCAGCCTGGGCAATAGAGCAAGGCTCCATCTCAATAAATAAGTAAATAAATAAATAAATAAATCCCACTACAATTCTGGAAGGTAAATCCTATGATCTTCTTGTTACAGATGAGGAAAATGAAGCCCAGGGTGGTAAGGAGTAGAACTGGAGTTTGACCCTGGGTCCATCCATCACCAAAGAGAAGCCTCTCTCCCCTCCAGCCCTCCAGGAACTCCAAGCCCATGACTGAGCACAGTCCAGTACCCTTTACTACAAGTCCTTTGGTAGATGCTATCCTGGGTTTCCTTAGGAAGAATAGGCATATAAAGGCAATAAAGCTACTGCTGGAAAATTTGGCCTTTCAGTCCATTTGGCCCGGCGCCATATTTCACACAACTATTTCATTTCAAGAATGCTCTGGGCCCTGGCCATCTGCCAGGTACTCAGCTAGGTGCTGCGAAAGGCATTGGGGATGAAGAAAAGGCGGCCCCTGACCTCAGTTGCTGCCACTTGACATACAGGCACATGTAATATTCCAGAAAGACACTGGTCAACATGGAGCCATGGACGTTAGAGGAAGGAGGTATGGATCCTGATGAGAGAATGGAGAAGGAGCCATGAGCATGCCAGAATCTGAACTAGGAGGTCGCTGTTTAGTTGATTTAGTCAAAACAGGCAGTTTAATCTGAAGGATCTAAAGAACTGTGACCATGTGTTCTTAGCAGGGGCATGCACTGCCTGAGCCTGTCTAGACCTCTGCTGATTGGGCAAGTCCTAGGTCATGTCTATTCAGAGCTTGAAGCTTAATAGTTTATTGGGCAATAAACTATACTTTAGAGTCTAAAGTATGGCAACTGTCGCTAAAAACAGCCCAGAGAAAATGGAAACACAACTTCCCTTGATCCACATGTGGCATTCATGCAGCATAAGGACCCGTACCCACTTAGCTGTGTGGTCTTGGGCAAGTCACTCACCCTCCCTGGACCTGAGGTTTCTCATCTATAGAAAAAGGGCATGGAAGGGATGATTTCTCAGGGACTTTATACTTCCAAAGTCCTGTGCTTCAAATGCCACAGTAAATTTAGAAGATTTGTGGAGCTGCAGCCCATCTGATATTCTCCCCAACTTGACCTTTTCTTAAATTCATTTCATTAATTCTCTTATTCATAAGAATGCATTTTCATTTCATGCTTCCTATGTTTAGTGCTTTCTCCTGATGATGCTTCTCTTCCCCGGTATAATTTTTTGTTCCATTAATTTCCAAGGACCATTTTGCCAGATCAGAGTGTTAAGAATCATTCACACCTCTTCCATTTGTCTAACCAACCGCTCATCCATTTCTCTCCAGAAATAATTGTATATGGTTCAATAAGTTTATTGTTCAAATCTGTTTACACTTCAGGATGCATCTCATCAGGATTTGCTGTAAAGGGTGGAAGCCAGCTTCCAATGATCATTATTATATCTATTTCTCCAAGTTTTTCAAATATTCATTTTCTTCATCCTCAGGAGCTGCTTTTTCCTCTGTTTATTTTTCTTTCATAGTGAAGGCAGACTTTTCTTTAAAAGCACCCATTCTTTTAGATATTTATTGGCCTCTGTTTCTCTGACTCAGCTGGGTGGGATGCTGGGATTTTTCTGTTTCCAGCATGACTCTATCTTGATTCTGAAAAGTTCCCTATGAAGGGCTCACTGGGCCTTTGTGACTCTATCAGGTTGTGGACCCAGTGGGCAGGGGACATCTGAGAAAGGAGAGAGGGGAGAGAAGAAAGAAAGAGAAGCGGAAATGGAAGCCTGGAAATGGAAGCAAGAACAGAAGTGAGATTTTATAAGTGGTGATGTTGCCCAGACTCAGGACAGAAGGCAAACAAGCTACCAAACTAGACCCAGGTCTGCCTGCTCCTGGACTCTCCCAGGGGTGCACTGGTGTGGTGGATAAGAGTTTGCAGGTCTGGGACCCCAGGTGGGTTCCAGTTGTGTCCCACCGATTAGCAGCTACGCAGTGTGAGTAAACTCCTTAACCTATGCCTCGGTTCCTCAGCTGTAAAAATTGGGATAACAATAGTTCTTGCTTTGTAGGATCATGTGGGGATTTATTTATATGTGCATTTACACAATTATTTTTCAGCTTCCTACGATGTGCCAAGCTCTGTACTAAGCACTGGGGATATAGCCGAGGGCAAAATCCAGCCCCCACCTCTGTATTTCCGGAGTTGTGGTCAGGGTGGAGTGGCATATATCCATCTATTAACTGCTCATGTAAAATGGACAGGTACTGCTAGGGAGTCCCCAAAGACCTGAATTCAGGGAGCCCTGGGAGTGTTTCAGGTGAGGAGAGGGGAGAGTACAGTAGGCAAGGCAGGTGAGGCGTGGTAGAGAGGTGGGGAATTCGGGAGGGGTGTGTAAGCTGCCTGCATGGAGTTAAGTATGGCTCTGCTCCAGGAATTGCCCCTGTGAGTACTTTAGCAGGACTGCAGGCTCTTCCTAGGGGCCATAGCCATCCCCCTGAATAGGAATGGAGCTATTGGATACCTCCTGACCAACTGTGGGTCAGCAGTGACAGGCTCTAGAGGAAGGGGCTGAGGTCGAGGGTCCCAGTGGTGGGGGCACTAGGATTCTGGATGTCCCTGAATGGGTCCAGCTGCAGGAGGGTCTGGAGTGAGGTGAAGCATGAGACAGGGGCCATGCGATGGTCTGAAACTATCCTCAGTTGTGGTTCATAACTTTCGGCATGTATCAGAACCACCTGCAGCTGCAGACATCTGAGCTCCATCCCTGGAGATTGGTTTATCAAGTTGGGCCAGGGCCCAGGAATCTGCATTGTAATAAGAGCCCTGGGTTGGGGACTCCACTGAGAAGCACTGCCCAACAGCAACTTGGCCTTCTGAACAAACCTGGGCCTTGTCTGGATTCCTGCAGTCTCAGATGGAGGAGCTGAGAAGTTTCTTTCAGGAAAGGATTCTTGCTATCTGGGTCCAAAAGTGCTAATATTAGCAGCCTTCCTGAACCTGAGAACATTGAGCAACTTTGAAATCCATGTAGCAGTGTGAAATGGGAATTAAGGAGCCATAGCTTGGTCCATCATTTCAATGAAGATGTGGGAAAACCTGGCCAGATGTTCCATCAGCTGTGGGAAGAGCCTAGCAGGTCCAATGAACATCTAGATCTGGCACCCACTGGTGAGAGACATTTGGAGAAAGAGGGACATTGGCAGCTTCCTTGGCACAGAAGAGTGGAGGGGCCGTTCATTCAGAGAGGGACCCAAGCCCTGGGAATTCCTGCCAGGCCTAGGGGCCCAAGAGCTGGGGTGGAGGCCTGTTCACAGGTGCAGGTCCTGGAAGAGGTGGAGGCCATGCGGAGGGAGCAGGCAGAGATGGGCAGGAGGAGTGAGGGACTCTTGATCTTGGTGATCAGGTGATCAATTACCCTGGTTTATCCTAGTTTTAGCACTGAAAGTCCCATATCCCAGGAACCCCTCAGACCAGGGCAAACCGAGATGGTTGGTCACCATACTTTACTTGGCAACAAGGGAATTGCATTCTATTGGAAGGCTCGATTTCTCAGTGGTTACAGCAGAAACTATGACCCCTAGAGCTGGATGTTGATTCTGGCTCTACCGTTACTGTGTGATCTGGGGCAAGGGTTTTAATTGCTCTTGGTTTTAGTTTCTGATATATAAAATGGGAATAATATTTCCTTCATAGGAGGATTTGGGGGAGGGGTAAAAAGGATAATGCATGTAGAACCTTAGCATAGGGCTTGGTATGTTTATTTATTTGACAAATATGTTTTGGCCACTATGACCCTATTTTCTCATATTTCATTGAATGTAAGATGCCATCAATTAATTGTATACTGAACAATGATTGGCCTACTATGAAGGAAAGAATGCTGCCCATTACACTTTGACTTATGATGGATTGCAAGTTATATCTCAATTTCAGAGATACTAACATGTGAAAAAAAATACCCACCTTAGAATCGATGAACCAGGTACCACGTTGGGAACCTCTGGGCTATGGTGGTGAATAAGGCCATTAAAGCCTCTGCCACTGCTCAATTTGCAGCTCAGTGCAGGCTTCTGGGTGGAGACACTTTTCCAAAAACTCCTGAGGTCTAAGTATGTCTCCTTGAAGACTGTGGCAGGTATCCTATGTTCAATTTAAAATGTCAGATGTGAGGGAGAGTTCCAGGCTGTATGGGGTGCCAGAAGAGAAAATTCTTGGTTTACATGGTCACATGATTGCTCTGGGACCTGGGGCCAGTCAGTTGTGCTTTCTGTGTCTCTGGTGTGAACAGGGGGATTGATTCTAGCTCTGAGGCCTTCCTGGCTTCAACCTTCAGGGACTCTGTTGGGTCCCCCATGGTGGCCAAGTCCCCCTCTCCCAATTGCAGGAAGGGCTTCCTTCTGGATATATGGTCTGCCAAGGGAATGCAACTCTCCCTTGGTGAGTGCCACTCACTGCCAGACTGGGATGGGTGGGAGTGGTGCTTGGGGTGGGATAGGCAGGGGAAGCTCCAGGTGTCAGGTTACACTCCTTGCAGAGCACTGCTGGGCCTGAATGGGAGCCAGGGAGAACGTCCTGCCTTCTCCATCTTTGTTCCTACTAGTTTTTCACAAAGGGACACATGCAGTTTTCCCCTTCATTGTGGGTTCCCTATGTGGGAAAATTCCATTTGCTAGGCCTCAGAACCAGTCCGTGGAACCATGACGGCACCTTCCCCCACCCAGTGTGCCCGATTAGCCTCCAGAGGAGGCTTCTGAAAGGTCAGCTGGTGGGGCATTTCTACCCTGTTGTGGACGATGTGAGGTCAGCACAGACTCCAGGGAGGGCGGCCAGTTTCTACCTAGTCCTGAAAGCAGCACTAAGTTAAATGCTCGCGGGGGTGGGGCAGGAGGGTGGGAAACCCAAGGCTGAGAATACTGTTTGTTTAGAGCGTGATCCACAGAGCATCGAGGGCCCGCTTTCTGTACCTCATTATGTGAAGCCTTGAAGCCTTGTGGTGCCAGCTAAGGGG
The DNA here is from genome assembly GCF_000001405.40 of Homo sapiens. Classification (NCBI taxonomy): domain Eukaryota; kingdom Metazoa; phylum Chordata; class Mammalia; order Primates; family Hominidae; genus Homo; species Homo sapiens. Next base: position 36,726,643 of record NC_000009.12, read on the forward strand.
GGAAGTGCTCAGTGTGGGCCAAGGGAGGAGCTACCCCTGGGGTCCCTCCTGCTGAAAGTCTGGAGTGGTCATGGGGATGAGGGCAGAATTAGATACCTGTCCCAGGACCCTGGTTGAGGGTAGAAAGTCATTTCACGTCGGGAGGAGGCTGGGGGCTGATGCGACACTTGAAAATATATATTTATCATTTTTTTATGACTAGATAAATACTAGAAAATCTAGAAACATAGACAAAAATCCAAAAGAATAAAATAAAAATCACAGCAATCCAATAATCTAGAGTCAACTTCCTTTGACATTCTGGTGTATTTTCTATTAGAATCTGTGTTCTAAACACAGGCCTAGATCTTACATTTGAAGGGCCCAGGGCAAGGGTACAATTGGAGTTCCACATACCATATGTTTAAATATTTAATATTTAAATCATTTTTTCTAAGAAAGATTTTCTTCTGAAACATTCAAAATTATCTGTCAAGACCAAAAGGCAAAACTCAAATTACAATGAGTAAATCTTAAAAATTTAGATGAAAATTATTTCTGTAAAGCAGACATTAAAATTTTTTAAAAACGTTTGATTACATTCCATTAGGTATTAAAAATAGCAAAACTCTATGCTATTTGAATGGCCAGGATCCAGGGTCTATAGTTGTCAATGTAAAGAACTGATATACTTCATACATATTATGTCTGGACCTACACGCAGGGAAATTTAAGAGTGCAATGAATCGTTTGCTATTGCAGAATAGTCTTCAGCTGTTAGGTTCCTCTGGAACCATGAATTAGAACATGAAGAAAAGCAAGGAAATGGACACTTGGCACTGCTGGGAGACTATACTTTGTTATGTAAGAAAATGTTGCATTCCACGCTACCTGAGAGGAAGTGTTTGACAAATTAATTTGTCTATTCTCTTACATGCTTAAGCACGTCCACTGCTCAAATTTTCCCTGTACTCTGAAGCGTCGTCCATCTCTGATGTCAGCCACAGCACAGCCCACGTGGTGTTGTGGCATTGGGATTCAGTCCCTTTTGTCTCAAAGACAGAGGACAAGACCTGGAGACACATCTCCTGGGTCTTGATGATGTTAGTCCCAAGTTAATGTTTAGGGTTACGCTATGCAGCACTGAACACCAGGTCGCAAGTAACAGAAGTGACTGTCTTCATAATAACTATTTGCCTATGTGTGTTTATGAAATGCCGAACACTTTGAATTGTGGGATCTAAGGCATGGACCACACTTACCCAGGTCTAAGGTCTAAGCGTGTGTGTGTGCGTGTGTGCGTGCATGTGCATGTGTGTGCGTGTGTGTGTATATAAAACTATGTATATATTTAATTTAAAATTAATATATTTATTTTAATATTGTAAGGTCTAATTTTAAAAAATACATATATAGAAAATTAGTACTAAATAGTGAGTACCTCTGGAACCACAAATTATATTTTATATGCACAAGGAATTTTAAAATATTAGGAATGTACAATATGTATTATTTCCTCAGTTTTCTAGCATAATTTTTTTCTTTATACATATTCTTCTAAAAATTTATTTTTAATGATTATACAGTATTCCACAAAACAGATATGTCATTATTTATTTATTTATTGAGACAGAGTCTCACTCTGTTGCCCTGGCTGAAGTGCAATGGTGTGACCTTGGCTCACTGCAACCTCTGCCTCCTGGGTTCAAGCGATTCTCCAGCCTTAGACTCCTGAGTAGCTGGGATTACAGGTCGCCGCCACCACGCCCGGCTAATTTTTGTATTTTTAGTAGAGATGAGGTTTCACCAGGTTGGCCAGGCTAGTCTTGAACTCCTAACCTCAAGTGATCCACCTGCCTTGGCCTCCCAAAGTGTTGAGATTGCAGGCATGAGCCACTGGGCCTGGCTGTGTCATCATTTATTAAAGCAGTCCTGTAGTGGTTGTTTCCAATTTTTATGTTGCTTCCAGTTTTTCTCTACTATCAACACCGCCACAATGAACATCCTTGTGTGCATGTAAGCTACATTTCTGGAAGTGGCATCCTCAGGTCGGAGCATATACATTGTGTATATTTAGTTGAGTCAGGGGGCAGCCCCTTTAAAAAGACCCAAGTTTCATTGATAAGCTCTTTTATTTTTTGTTTGTTTAGAGTTGGTCCCAGGGAGACCGAAGCCTGCAGGCAGTACTAGAATTGGCCCAGGGAATGGGGTCTGGAGTTATGGATCCCAACTCTCTCTGAGCTTGGGAGAGTCCCTTCCCCTGTCTGGGCCTCACTTTCTTTATCTGTTCAAAGAAGACTCATTGGTACTGACCTAATGAGAAAAAAAAGGGAAAATAAAAGAAGAACAAAGAGGAGTCAGAGTAGGTTGCAGAGTCCTTGCAATCAGAAACGCTCTGATTCTGGGAGGGTTTGCTTGCTGGGTAAGTGGAGCCAAGCTCCAGCCTCTGGGGCTCTGTCCCTGAGACCATCCTGCCCCCTGCTGGCCAGTTGCCAAATGCCAGCTTTGTTCCTGACTCCCACAGGGAGATTCCCCGGAAATTTGCTGGACTCCCAGCAAGTCAGTTGCCCACTGTGAAAGCAGGAGGCTACAAGAGTATGAGAAGTGAGCGCCAACATTGCTACAATTCATTTAGCTGCTGTTTCACTTCTGGAAATTACATTCTTTGGGCTGTGCTTCCAAATGTCTCATTTCATTCATTTGTTCAGCAAATGCTTCCAAGTTCCTCCTTTGTGTCTGGGCTATGTTAGGGGGCTGGAGACACAGTGTTTGCCTGCAAAAAATGCACAGGCTAGATAGGGCCAAAGAACTGGCCATAGGTTACTACCATACAGAGGACAGAGAGGGGCACAGAGAAAAGCCTTCAGATGTTTAATTATTAGGCTATTGCTGGGCTTTCAAACCCCTGATCCTCATCTGTCTAGATAAAGAGCATAAATAGATGTATACTGGGTTGAATAGCATCCCTCCCTAACACTTGTCCACCCAGAACCTGTGAATGCAATACAGGGTCTTTGCAGATGTAATCAAGTAAAGATGAGGTCATGCTAGTGGGCCCTAATCCAATGATGGGTGTCCTTATAAGACGAGGAGACAGAGACCCAGAGAGACATGCAGAGGGGAAGGCCATGTGAAGGCACTCATAAGTCCCAGAATGGCGGGGATTGCCAGGAACCACCAGCAATTAGAAGAGGCAAGGAAGGATTTCTCCCCTGGAGAGACCATGGCTAGCTGACACCTTAATTTTGGACTTTGGGCCTCCAGAGATACGGGACAATACATTGATGTTGTTCTAAGCCACCCAGTTTGTGGTAATTTGTTGCAGCAGCCCTTGGAAACTAATGCAACAAACTTCTTGAGGATGAAAGTTAGCAAACTGAGGAGTACTCGGAATCCAAGTGAGTGAGTGTGTGTGTGTGTGTGTGTGTGTGTCAGGGTGGGAGGAGCTGGAAGTTTCAAGTTACAGCTTCATCTTGGCTGACTGGCTGTGTGTCCTTGGGTAAGTCCCTTCCTTCCCCTCTCTGGGCATTGGTTTCTTGGCCTATATAGGAAGACATTAGACTAGCCCAGTAGCCTTTGCAATTCATTCTGCTGCTGTTTCATTTCCGAAAACTGCATTCTTTGGGACCATGACAAAACCTTTTTTTGTCCTTTTTTAAAGAATCTGGACCCTTTTTTTTTCTCAAACAAAAGTAAACATATTGCCCCGCATATAAATGAGCACAGCTAAGCTGTGCCAGGCACAGGGTTCTGGGGCTGGTGAAGTACTTTTGGGATTTCCTGACCCTTCTCCAAGAACACCAAGGTTGTGCTGGATCCTGTACTGGCCCCTCTGGCATTCAGAAGGTGACATATGATGTCAAATAACTGTGGGTAATCCCAGAGTGAGTCCCTTTCTTCATGATTTAACAGGAAGGTTTATTTAGTCCTTGGGGTTTATGAGTTTGGGATCACAGAGCTTTTATGTGGACTCAGGAAGGGTGAGTGTATCAGTTTCCTGTGGCTGCTGTAACAAATGGCCACAGAGCTGGTGGCTTCAAACAACCGAAATTTATTCTCTTGTAGTTCTGGAGGCCAGAAGCCTCAAATCAGTCTCACCGGGTGGAAACGGAGGTGCTGGTGGAGCCATGCTCTCTCCACAGGCTCTAAGGGAGATTCCTTTCCTCGTGGCTTCCAGAACCTGGCGACTGCCTGTGTTCCTGGCTTGGGGCCACATCTCTCCAATCTCTGCTTCTGTGGCCACACTACCATTTCCTCTGCCTGTGTTACATCTCCCCCTACCTCTGTCTTATGAGGACACTTGTGACTGTATTTATCCCCTGCCCCCAGATAATCGAGGATCATCTATCTCATTTTCAATTTATCCACATCTGCAGAGTCTATTTTGCTGTATAAGGTAAGTGCACAGTCTAATCTGGGAATTAGACCCTGATACTGGGGCCATCATTCAGTGCACTGTAGAAGGTGATATATCCATGATGAAGCCCATGGCAGAGACCAACTCTGTCAGTCTCCTCTCTTATTCTCATTACTCCCACCCTCCCTCTCTGCCCAGGAAAGAAGCTATAGAAGGCATTTGGAACCCTTTTTTGGGTAAGGGGCGGAGGCGGGGAGGGAGGAGGCTGTGGCATTGTTTGCCGGCCAACCTCCTGGGCAGCTCCTGCTGAGCTGAGGACACAGGAAGGCAGAGCCATTCCCATGGAGAAATAGAACAAGGCCCAACCTGGCAGCCATGTCTGGAGGCAGCCCTTTGTCAAAAGTTCATCTGACCAGGGAGAGAAATTGCATACTCAGAGTTAGATCTTGTGCAAGGAGCTTCCCCATGCCATGTAATCCTCTCAAGAACCCTCTGAGACAGAGGTTATTAGGACCACTTTACAGATGAGAAAACAGGCTCTGGGAAGGAAAGTGACTTTCCAAGCTACATAGTGTTAAAAGAAAAACTTCAGCTGAATTAAATGTAAAGGAATTTAATTGAGCAATGAACGATTCGAGAATCGTGCAGCTCCCAGAATCACAGCAGATTTGGAGAGACTCCAGGGATGCCTCCTGGTCAGAACAAATTTATAGACAACAAAAGGGAAGTGACGTACAGAAATCGAAAGTGAGGTACAGAAACAGTTGATTGCTCACAGTTTGGCGTTTGCCTTATTTGAACACAGTTTAAACACTTAGTGGTCTATGAGTGGTTGAAGTATGCCGCTGGGATTGGACAAAACTCAGCTGTTGTTACAGGCACATACTCCTAAGTTAGGTTTTCAATCTTGTCAGCCTGTTAAGCTAGGTTACAGTTTGTCCACAAGGACTCAGATATAGAAGTATGGAGTTCTGGCTGGGTGCGGTGGCTCACATCTGCAATCCCAGCACTTTGGGAGGCTGAGGTGGGTAGACCACTTGAGGTCAGGAGTTCGAGACCAGCCTGGCTAATATGGTGAAATCCTGTTGCTTCCAAAAATGTAAAAAATTAGCCAGGCGTGATGGTGCGTGCCTGTAATCCCAGCTACTCAGGAGGCTGAGGCAGGAGAATCGCTTGAACCCGGGAGGCGGAGGTTGCAGTGAGCTGAGATTGTGCCACTGCCCTCCAGCCTGGGTGATAGAGTGAGACTCCATGTCAAAAAAAAAAAAAAAAAAAAAAAAAGAAGGACGGAATTCTTCTCAGGCCATATTTAGTTTGCTTTAACAATAGCTAGTGAATGGTGGTGCTGGAGACCAAAGCCAGCACTGCCTGCAGGTTTCAGAATCTGTTTGGATCTGGGTTTCTGCTGCTCTGAGCTAAGCAGCATGCTGTGAGCATGGGGTCAGAGCACTGGACTCGGGTCTAGGAGTAGATCCTTCCCTTCTCAGTGGTTCTACTGTGGGCAGGTTATTCCAGTTCTCAGAGCCTCTGTTTCCTTGTCTGTAGAGCGGGCTGAGAATCCTTGACCTAAGCCCTGGGTTAAGAAGTTCCAGGGAACACATATTCAGGAAAGCCTTTGTACACCCACTGCCCACAGAGGAGGGGTTGATTGTAGTTCAGGTTTTCCTGGACCAGCAAGCTGTGGGTGGTCTTCCAGGAGGAACGGTGCTGAGAACAGGGGTTGTGGGTCTGGCCCCGACAAGGTTAACAGACCCCTCCAAAGGTACCTGGCAGGCAGGGAGGTGCCTCCAAAGCAGTCTAGCTCTAGGGGACGGCCATTCAGGGTAATTCAACAGACATTCATTCACTGGGTAGCCATTCTGGGACAAGCTCTGACTGGGTGATGATGACAAGACGTGGTGGTCTCCACTTTCAGTGACCTCTTCAAGAGAGATGGGCATGTACATAGTTGTAAGAGAAAACAGTGCAGGATCAGGCCCGGCGGAGTCATAAATAAGTACATGGGACACAGAACAGAGGCAGGGCCCGTGGGTGGGCAGTGACATTATGATCCACTATGTGGTCCGGTTTCTTCAGCTCCTCTGATTTGTTCATCACTCTCATCCTGGGGACAGAGAAAGAATAGTTATTATTGCCATAAATAACTTATTGCTTTAAAATTAAAAATGTAATGGCTACCACAGAGCATGTAGAAGATGCATATAAGCAAAAAGAAGATAAAAGGCATTTACAATCCCATTGCTCAGTTATCAATCTCATTACTCCATTGTCAATACTTTGGAGTATTTCTTTCAACTAATTTTTTTCCACAGATTTTACTCTGCACACTATTTTGTAGCCTTCTTTTTAGAAAACCTAACAACAAATAATTTTGTGTTACTAATGGTTTTGTGAACCTATGTGTTTAACTGGATATACAATATTCCATCAAATGGTTGTATCATACTTTAACCAGCCCCTAATGATCAGATATTTGGTTTGTTTCCTTTTTTTTTCACTATTGTAAGCAGAATCTGGAATAAAATTCCTGAAATTTTTACATCTTTAATTATTTCCTCCAGACAAATTCCATATATATATATATAAAATTTGAGACAGGGTTTTGTCGGGGCAAGGTGGCTGATGCCTGTAATCATAGCTCTTTGGGAGGCTGAGGCTAGGAGTTCAAGACCAACCTGGCCAACATGATGAAACCCCATCTCTACTAAAAATGCAAAAAATAAAAAATTAGCTTGGTGCCATGGCACTCGCCTGTAGTCCCAGCTACTCGGAAAGCTGAGGCATGAGAATCACTTGAACCCAGGAGGTGGAGGTTGCAGTGAGCCGAGATCGAGCCACTGTACTCCAGCCTGGGTGACAGAGTGAGACCCTGTCTCAAATATATATATTTGAGACAAGGTCTTTGTCACCCAGGCTGGAGTGCAGTGACATGATCATGGCCCACTGCAGCCTCACCTCCTGGGGGCAAATGATCCCCCCGTCTCAGCTCCCGAGTAGCTGGAATCACAGGAGTGCACTACCACACCCGATTGATTTTTTTGGATTTTTAGTAGAGACAAAGATGAGGTCCCGCTTTGTTGCCCAGGTTGATCTTGAACTCCTGGGTTCAAGCAATCCTCCTGCCTCAGCCTACCAAAGTGCTGGCATTACAGGAAATCCTCTAAACAAGTACCTATGTTTGGAGTTGCAGTGTCAAAGGCCAAGCTCGTTTTAAAGGCCAAATCTGCCCTGCACAAAAGTTGTCCTGATTTATATTTTCAGGGTTTGAGAGTGCCAATATCTCCCCACATTCACCAATGCTGGCTTATTATTACCTTTTAATCTTTGTCAATTTGATTATCAAAAAATGGTTTCTAACAGGTTTAATCTGTATTTCTAAGATTATTGGGGATTTTGAACAGTTTTTTCTATGTTTAAGGCCATACGTATGTGTATATTTCTCCATTCTCCCATCGGTGGGTTTGTGTTTCCCTGATAGATTTGTAGGACTCTGATGCACTAGGATGGAGGACGATGCCCCCCTCCCACTTTATTGCTGAGGAGGCTGAGGTTTGATGAGGGTAAATGACTTGCCCAAGGTCGCTTGGGCCAATAAGTACTAGATGGAGATCTCAGCCCTGGGCTTTGGAGTCACTCTCTAGTACTTTGTCCACTGCGTCACACTGATAGATGACCCTCTCCTATGGTTCTGGGGGAAAAAAATCAAGCCTGCCTTGTTTCAATTTAGTCTGGATTCTTAAAATAATCTATCCTGTAACATACAGTAGTGTTAGCAGAGAAAATATGTTCTGCCACTTATTGCTAAAGGAGCTGGAGATCCGCGGTGGGCTGTGACCCTTTAAGAGCGTGCCCTCCATGCTGATAAATCAGGCCCTGGCAGGCTGCGTGGAAGATTACTGCTGACGGGTGTGGAGACAGTTAGTGCGATTATTAACAGGACACTGTGGCAGGGGATGAGCTGGCTCTGTGTGCACGTGAGCACCTGGACCCCCAACCCAGGGGCCGGACTCTGAGAGCAGCCTGGACTGGAGGACTGTTCGCCAGCCCAGCCCAACCCCAGGGATGGCTCTGCAGTGCCCATCCATCCACCCGACTCTGTTGGTCTCATGGCCACTTGCAGTGCTGGGAGGGTAGAAAGAGCTGGATCCTGCATCTGGTGCTACATGAGTTTACATTTGTCCATAAGCACCTCCCTGTTCCCCTCTGCCTCAGTTTCCCCACCTGTTTAGCCAAAAGGTTGGACACAATAGTCTCTAAGGGTTCTTCCGAGTCCAAGTCTGCCTGCCTTCCCCATCTGTCCACCCTGGCCGTTCTTGCCTCTTGGCTGCCTGAACACCTGAGCAGACACCCACAGAATGTGCTGTTTGGTGGGACCTTACCATCTTTTCACCCATTCTCAGGCCACAAACTTTTGCAAGGTTTGCAAGGAAGACGATTTTGTCTTTCTCTATCTGGACTTATATTTAATTTTATTTATTTATTTATTTTTTGAGATGGAGTCTTGCTCTGTCGCCTAGGCTGGAGTGCAGTGGCGCAATCTCAGCTCACTGCAACTTCTGCCTCCTGGGTTCAAGCAATTCTCCTGCCTCAGCCTCCTGATTAGCTGGGATTACAAGCATGTGCCAGCATGCCTGACTAATTGTTTGTATTCTTTGTAGAGATGGGGTTTCACCATGTTAGCCAGGATGGTCTTGATACCCTGACCTCGTGATCCGCCTGCCTTGGCCTCCCAAAGTGCTGGGATTACAGGCGTGAGCCACCACACCTGGCCTTATTTTTAATATTTTTTTTTTGAGACAGAATCTCGCTCTGTCACCCAGGCTGGAGTGTAGTGGCGCGATCTCAGCTCATTGCAACCTCCGCCTCCCGATTCAAGCAATTTTCGTGCCTCAGTCTCCAAAGTAGCTGGGATTATAGACATGTGCCACCATGCACAGCTAATTTTTGTGTTTTTAGTAGAAACAGGGTTTCACCATGTTGGCCATGCTCGTCTCGAGCTCCTGACTTTAAGTGATCTGCCCACCTCAGCTTCCCAAAGTGTTGGGATTACAGGCGTGAGCCACTGCGTCCAGCCCTGGACTTATTTTTTTCTTCTGAGTCATTCAGCTGCACGGCAGGAAGGCCATCTCAGAGAATTCCAAGTGGTCTCGGTTACTTTGGGTTCTCTCTTCATCCCCCTCTTCATCTGCCAGATTGTGTCTAAATTTTGGGTGGGGGTTCACTTGGTGCCTTGGCAAAAGAGAGCTGGGGGCTGCCTGTGTTTTGGAAGACACTCATCTCTGCTGTCAGCCCTTGAGACCCAGACTGCTGCTCCACCATCCCTCATTCTCAAAGCATACCTCTCCAGAGGTGAGAGCAATCTCACCCACTTTAGAGGCTGCTAAGGGGCATGGGAGAATCCAGCTTCTCTCTTCCACGACAGGAAGCCACAGGGCTCCCAAGGCCCTCTTTGCTCAGGTACACCACACACAGCCGTTTCTACTCTGTCCCTCCCACACTACACTTGGCACTTGGGAACTCTGCCAGGCTTGATCCTCTGTGGGCTCCCCTGGGGAAAAGGCCCAGGACCCTTCTACTTTAAGATTCTCCAAATCCACCTGAGATTTTTGTAATCTCTGTAACCCTGGCCTCGGCCTAGGGAAGGGCAGGGTTCAGGGCGTCTCCAGCATCCCGCCTCTGACATGGTTCTCTCTCCCAGCCCAGCAGGTTTTAAATTTCTTTTAGCTGAAAAAACAAACAAACAAACAAGCAAAAAAACCTGACTCTGACAAATGATGCATTGTTCCCAGTCCTTTCGTCTGATACCTTTTTTTGTTGTTCTTTTAAATCTCTCTCTGATTCTGCTGAAACAACTTGATTGCCTATTGTGCAATTTGAGTGAGGCAAGAGCAAAAGTTATAAGGAAATATGGAGGAAAACACCTCAGTGTATGGCCCAGATATTACCTGGCCCCATTAAGACGGAGGACTGGAGGCTTGGTGAATCCATGGTGGATCTATGACTAACCCTTGGGTTACACTCTGCCTTTCTCTGGAGCCACGTTCAGATGCGAGAAATCCTGCTTTTCTTCAAGTGAAAACCATCCTTGTCCATGTGCTTTCTACCCCTCTTGCTTCTACTCTGAGGCCAGACCCTGGGCAGCCAGGGAGCTCAGGAGGGGTTGGCAGTTGCCCAGATGACCTGGCCCAAGAGGACTACTCGGTGCCACCCCTCTCTGTTACCCCTGTCCCGGCATCCTGGGACATGGGTAAGACATATGGCATGACTGCAGCCAGCCACAGAGCCGTGGAGGCCAGGTGGGGGCTGCAGTCTCCTCTCGTCAGCTTTGGTCAGCATCGCACAGTCAACTTGGAGCCCCACACTTTATTATTTAAAAAAAACTTTTATTGCTTATATTTATTATTATACAAGTAGTGTATATTTGTTATAAGAGCCAGAAAATGAAGATAAACAAAAAGAAGAAAATAAAACTCATGTGCAATCCTAATATCAAGGGAAAACCCTTTTCAACATCTTGGGGTCCATCATTATCTCTGTATATGTCTTTTTCATTTTTAAAGAAAAGGGATCAGACTGTACACATTATTTTTCATTTAATATAATTCTAAACTATTTTTCTACTAAATATACTTCTGCAACATTATTTCCAACAGCCATATGGTATTCTAGTAGGTGCTGAAATGGAGCAACCACCCCCTATTATTGGAAATTTAGGTATTTCTTTCTTTTTTATATATACATATATATAATTTTAGAGGTGGAGTTTCGTCATGTTGCCCAAGTTGGTCTTGAAGTCCTGAGCCCAAGTGATCTGCCCACCTTGGCCTCCCAAAGTGCTGGGATTATAGGTGTGAGCCACCGCACCCAGCCTTCTTTCTTCTTCTTTTTTTTTCTTGAGACAGAGTCTCACTCTGTTGCCCAGGCTGGAGTGCGGTGGTGCAAACACAGCTCAGGCAATCCTCCTGCCTCAGCCTCCCAAGTAGCTGGGACCACAGGTGTGTAACACCATGCCCAACTAATTTTCTAAGTTTTTTTTTTTTTTTTTTTTTTTTGTAGAGACAGGGTCTCACCATGTTGCCCAGGTTGGTCTTGAACTCCTAGGATCAAGCAGTCCTCCAACCTCAGCCTCCCAAAGCACTGGGACTACAGGCGTGGGCCACCCCACCTGGCCAAAAGTATTTTTAATGTTTTAATTTTATTAAACTGAACAACATAAAATTTCTAACATTTGACTGTTCTTGACTTAAAAAATGGCAACTTCATGTGATTTGACCAAACATAAATGATGCTGTGGTGAACATACTTGAGACTAATCTTTGCATAATTTTTTTCTGATTACTGACAATTACATGTCTAGGATTGCATGCCTAGAAATCCACTTGCTGAGTGAAAAGGGATGCGTGCTTTTGAAGAGACCCACACTTTAGTATACTGACCTCTTGGCGTGTGTCCAGGGCAGAGAGGAAACGGACCAGGGTGAGAAACCGTCTTAGGAGCTTGCTGTTGGAGTTGGGCTTGACCATGTCCTGGCTGCTCCCCTCACTAGGCTGTGGCCCTGGACCAGTGGCAGCACAAAGGGGGGAACTCCAGCTCTGGAGAGCCATCTGTCTGCAGGGTTTTCATAGTGAGACAACTGGTGTTTTGTTTCAGAGATATTGGTGGTTTGGCGAAGGCTCAGCCATTTCAAACTCCATCTAACTTCCACCAAGCTTCGAAACTCTGCCTGAATTTAAGATCCTCTGAGCCTTGGGATCAGAAACCCTCTTTTCCAGGTGACTCAGTAATAAGACGTGACTCAGTAATAAGACGGCCCCTCCCTTCCTGCTCCTTAGAGATGAGGCCTTTCTAAAGGACTCACAACTGCCTCCATGGTTTTGAATGTTTTAAAATGTAACTTGGCCTTGAGGGTGGATCCAGGCCTGGCTGTGGAGTGAGGTTCTGATGGATTCTGGGGCGGCAGACCTCTTGAACCATCGAAGCGTGCAGGCTGATTTTTAAAAATAATTGTCCTTTTTAATGATGTAAAACATGTCATCTAGATTAAAAAATAAACACACTTTATTACTTTCCCAGTCTTTTCTTCCTCCCTCCCAGGGCCAGATGGGGATTGCTTGAATATTTCTGGCGTATTTCACATATTTAATAACGCCCTTGGAGGTTCTTCCAGAACTGATAAAAATGTGGGATAGACAGTGTTCACAGAAAGGAAAGCTGGTGGTGTGTGTTCGTGTGTCGGGGTGGGGGTGGGAGATGGGGGGGGGCATCTGTTTTGGAAGCAAGTCAAAAGGCATGTACTTTTTATCTTGAGCAACAAAGGACATTGTTTCACTGTCTCCCCGCCCCAACTCTTGCCTTTTGGGGGTTGGGGGAGCAGAAGGAAGAAAAGAGAGAAAAAAATCACTGCAGCTAAAAAAACTAGAGCGGCTTCAGAGAATCAGTCCTTCCCCCCTTCCCCGACAGCTTTCCACTAGCTCTCTTGCGCTACAGCGAATCCAAGAAAATAATTAAAGCTTTAATTTATTTATACGTCTTCTCTATAGATATTATAGATCTCACAATCGCCGCCTCCTAATTTATGCACGCAGAGCCTGCGGCAGCTCGGAGCCGCCAGGGTTGGGGGGTCCGGGCCCCTCGGAGCGGGACGGCTGTCAGCCCCCGCGGTGGCCGCACAAAGGCTGGGGTCCCGGCGGGCGCACCTGGGTGATGGGCACCTCCCGAGACTCCCCGGGACGGAGGCCTGACAGCGCGCGGCGGCCGCCTTAATAGACTGCGGGATGTTCTCCGGGAGAAGGCTGCGCCGGTCCCCGAGGACAGATCATCAGGCAGAGTGGTCCCCGGAGCAGGATTTATTAGCAGACAGGATGGGGAAGTTGATTAGCCTCCGCGGCTGAACGGACATCCTGTCAGACAGGCCTCTTAATCCAATCACTTACCTGTGGAGGGGAGCCGGCTGCCTCCTCCTGGCCCCCTTCCTCCTCCCATGGCACCTGCGGGGCCACGCGGGGTGCTCCGGAGCCAGGGTACACAGGCCAGGCCTTCCGTGCCTGGCCTCGCTCTCTGATTCAGTCTCGTGGTTGATGCAACCTGCAGGCTGCTCTTTTGGGCTCACTGCCCTGGTGGTGACTCTCCCGCATAGAGACCTTACCTTCTGTGGCTCCCTCTTCCCCACTCAGGAAAATCCCCTTCCCCTCCCTGGGCTTGCCTCATTTGACCCTGAACCACCTTTCCAGCTTCAGCCTCCACTAGTCCTTCTCTTGAGTGGCCTCTCTCCATTTCCTGAACCTCTCCTGCCTGCCCCCTGCCCTTGCTTCAGGTATGGGGTCTACTTAGACTGTTCTCTCTCTCTCTCTTTTCCCCCAAATCCTTCTTGTCCTCCAGGGTCTAGCCCACAAGTCTCATCTTCCCTGATTCCATGCCCCCTCCCTCCAGGCCCAGGTAATTTCCCTCTCTTCTGAAGCTTTATCCATCTGTGGTGGGTGAGGATTCCAGGCCCAAATCCTGCTTCCACCTCACCAGCTCTGCAGCCCTGGCCAGATGACCTCACTGGCCTCCCCTTCTGGGGATGACAGCAGCAAGTTCCTCCAGGGTCTGCTGAGGACCAAATGAGAGGGTGCATGTTGAGAGCTGGCGGTAACGTCCAGCCCACAGCAGCACGCAGCGGTAGGTGATTGTTTCACCCTGGATTGGGATCATTCTGTATGGTGGGGTCTCCTTCACAGTGCTGAGTTCCATTAGGACAGGGGCCAGGCCTCACCATCTCCTCCCTCTTTCCGTCTCCCTTGCCCTAACACCAAGCACAACCCTTTCCAGATAAGATGGCTGAATGTTTGTTGAATGCATGGGGCAACCATCTGCCACACAGTGGACCAAGGATGGCGAACCCTCTCTCGGAGTGACCCCACGGGGCCCCACCTTTGGCTTACCTGACCATGGAAGAAGAAGGACTGTGAGGGACAGGGCCTCCATCTGCTTCTGTGGGGCGGGCATTGAGATGTGTGTTCTCTCCAGCTCTTGTCAAGAGTTTAGGAATTCAGACCCTATTGATCCACTGCGTCTTCAAAGCCATCTGTTATCATTAAGAAACAGGACCTGAGCCCCGGATGCAGCGGCTGGCACTGGGTAATTTAGAGCATTTTACACACACACACACACACACGCACACACACAGAGAGAGAGAGACATGGCTAAAAGAAGTTAGCTAAGGCAAACATTGAACACTTGGCAGGCAGGGAGGGAAAGAACCAGGGGACTCATAGAAACCAAAGGTTTCTACACCGCTACATTAAATTCTACTTCCTGGTCACAGATTTTCATGGTTGATTGTAATCGTCTATGGGCATTTGACTTTGGCAAATGTGGATGCCAAGGTCTCACCCAGGCCCTGCCACCTCCTACTGATGTCTGTCCCTTGCTGCTCACAACCGTCAGTCTTGACTGGGTTGATGTCAAGGTCACTGGTCCCTAGTTTGCGCCATCTTCCTTATTTTCCTTTAAAACAAACCAGAATAACATTTGCCAGACCACAGTTGTCAGGCAACTTTCCCATGCCTTGGTGTTTCTCAAAGATTTCTAGCTGTGCCTGGGTCATTTTGGTGTGGCAGAATTTACCACTGGAAGAAGATTCAGAGCAGGGGCCTGGTTAGATGCTGCTACTGATTAGACGTGTGCTTCTAGGTGGGGTGGCATGGGAGAGTGTGGGCACTTAACCGAACCTCACGGAACCTCAGTTTCTTCATCTATCATATGGGGATAATATTTGGCCCACTACTACAAAAGGGGAGATTTAAGGGTAAGATGAGGTGCTTGATAGGAATGTGCTTTTAAAAGCACAGTACTATACAAAATTAAGGCATAACTACTATCAGGAGATTGTGCCTAAAATATCTAATACTCTCAGTGCTAGGTGCTGGAGAAGTAAAGGTGACCAAGCCTCACTCTGCTCTCAGTGAGTTTCACAGGCTAAAGGGGGAAACGAATATGGGGACGCTAACTAAGCAACCAGCAGGATCCGTCCAACTGGACCTTGGGTCGCCCTTTCAATCCTGGAGCCCCTGTTCCCTACAGCATGTGCCATCAGAAGGGGCTCCGGCCAGCACAAGGTCAGGCAGCTGTGGCACTGCCCTTGTTCTGCTGTTTGATTCAATGGATGAGATGGAGTAAACATGGAGGCTTCTCCTTTTAGGATGGGGAGTTTATGTCTTAAGAAAAATGACAGATGCCACTGAACCTTTTTTATGACAGATTCACTGAACACTGACGTCTGTTGATTGTGTCAATAGGGAGAAAGAGGGTAGAGAGCTGAAGAAATTCCTACCCCGAGCTACCCTCTCATCCATGTATCTTTTTTTTTTTTGTCTCCAGTCCTTGCTTCGGGAATCTCTGCTCAGACCTGCAGTGCCCTCTCCAAGGGGGATCAGCTAAAATGCCTTCCATTGCATGGATCCTGAGCTCCCCCGACAGGTATGGCAGCTGGTAACTGCAGCTTCCCTACCCCTCCCCCAAAGGGGCAGGTGCACAGCTCTGATCTGGGGCTCCTAGAGGCAGAAGCACTCTTCCGGACTGTTCTGTAAGTGATTCTCACTACGACTGGGAGGAGGGAAGGGGACTGTTGTCCCAGCCTCTCCCATTCTGTGCCTCCCTCTGCCCAGTCTATGGGCACCCCTTGGGGCCCCAGAACCCTTCTTAGGTAAGCAGGAGTGCGTAGGATGCAGCACCAATGAGGAGAATAAATTTGCTCAGGTGAACATCCCCTTATTGAGGGAAGGTCCTTACGTTTTCAAGATGATTATGGCATTAGAGCTCAGAGTGCAAGCGCATATATCTCAACACAGATGAGCTACAGGGCCCCGATTCCTCTGCCTGTTAGGGGCTGACCTCTTGGGATAAAGCAAGGGGCCGTGACTCAGATCTGAGGAGAATAAACTGGTATTTGGCTGAAATCACTGAATTGACTGAGACTAGGGGCCTGGCCCCAGGGCATTCTGGGGTCGAGAAGTGGCCCCGTATAGACCTGGGACTATGGGGCTCTGTGGTTCTCCCAGGCAGAGTCCCCAGTCCCCATAAACTGCGGCCTGTGCTACCCCATGCTCCTCCCCACCGCTGTCCAGAACCCCCATGCCTGCTCACACCCTTGAGCGCAGACAGAAGAGGACCCCGTGGTTCCTAGTGGGAGGGGTGGGTAGAATGAGCAGTGCTCTGGCCCGCACAGTCGCCTGATGCTGGCTGCCTGTGCTCAGCAGCCTGGCAGGTGGGAGGAGGGAGACAGCTGGTTGGGGTTTTGGGAACAGGGACCATGTTTTAATAATCTCCATATCCCCAGCACAGAGTGGGTGCTAGAAAATGTATTGTTGAATCAAAGGATAGTTGAGTAGGGGGCCTGCAGATGGCAAGGCGGGACAGGGCCCTGCAGCCTGAAGAAACTGCATGAGCAAACGCTGGAGGTGGTCACAGTGCCAGGTAAGGCTGAAGGGGGAGTGGCAGAGAACTCACAGCTGGAGGGATGTACAGGGCTGCCCACTTCAACCCCTCCACCTCTCTCAGAATGCTGAGCTCATTCTAGAGCCCCAGCAGCAGCCTTCCTGGAGATAATCCAGCTGCACTTGAAGTCTCTGGAGACATGGAGCTCATTCTTCCCTTGACATTGCTTTGTATCTTGGGCGTCTCTGATGGATACAAAATGAACTTCTTTCTTAAATGAAGTGGGCATTGATTCTTTTTGGAGCACCTACTGCTCCTCAAGCTGCCTGCTTCTTTGGTGCTACATTGCCCAGGGCCTTCAGTGCCGGGCCAAGGAGTTTCGTCTTTCTTCTGCGTGCAGAGGGAGCCCTGGGCAGCCTCTGAGCAGGAGGACCATGAATGGGTGGAGCTCTGCTTAGGAAGGTGACTCTGCTGGCCCATCTGGGGCTGGAGTCCTAGAGGCAATACAGCCTGAAGTCTGTGTTTCTGCACCTAATCACACTCATTGCTTGAATTTATGGACCTGAGGTCAGAAAACCAGTGACAACTATTTCTGTTGCCTGACAAGCAAATCCAGGGCTTGTGACCCTGGGTATGGGCTGGGAGGAGGCACATGTAAAAGTTTGTATCTTAGGGTCAGCCAGGTCTAGGTATCTTGGAAGCCAGTGCCTCCCAAACTCCCTTGCCCCTCTGGAGTCTGTCTGCAGAACCAGATGGTAGGCAGGTGTGGGCACCTAGGGTCTTGGGGTGAAGGGAGGCTCTAGCTCTCCTCTGGCCCTGACAAAGCTGATGGCCATTGTGAGGACTGGCATTCAGTGAGAGAGGCACTCAGCCCTCCACCCTGAGGTCAAGGCTTGCACTAAGGTGGGCCCATAGCACCTTCACCCACCCCAGGAGCCCCACTGACCTTTGCATTCTCCAAAAAAAGTCAAGGTGATGACAAGACACATCTATCGCATCTCAGCCATCATTGCAGTTGAAAGATGGGCCCGGAGCAGGTGGACTGCTTCAATTATGATGGATGAGGACGGTGACAGCTCTCGGGAGAGCCGCGGGAACCTGGCAAGTGCTCACTCAGCTATGACTCCTCTGGTAGCAATTTGACAAGATCAGAGCACTTTATGGAAGTGGAAAGTTTGGGGACCTCGGGGTTTGCTTGGCCCGGGGACTCTGGCTGCGGAAGCCCTCTGCCAGCAACACAGGGCGCTTCCTACAAGGGCCAGCGAAGGGGAGGCAGGAGCAGCCCTTGGGGAGGGGCTCTGCCTCAGGAGATCTCCTGGCCCTGGGACCAAGCCTGGGACGTGCCTGCTTGAGTCTCTTCCCTGCCACTGAGAACGGCCCCCTGCTACCAACCAGGTGACATCATGGCTCCAGCCACAACCTCACAGGACAGCTGGGCATCTCCTCTGAGCCAGGCCTTGTGCAGAGCACTGAGAGAGAGTGGTGAACACCTCTGAGGTCACTTCCTGTCCTCAGGGCATTCTCCCTGTAGATTCCAAGGGGACTGGACAGCCCCATCTGTGGTCAGATGTGACACTGGGCATGTCACCTCTTCTCTCTGAGCTTTGGTTGGGTCATTTCTTTATGAGGATGGCGGTTGTGTATTAAGTGAGGTAAGCTATGAGGAGCACTCAGCTTATCAAAGGTGGTATTCAATAAATGTTAGATTTCCTTCCTGACCAATTCAGCTGTCCTTTGGTACATTTCTTTATTTATTCAGCAAATTTGGCAGAGCCCTTCTTGTGTGCCAAGCACTGGGCTTGGCTTCTGGGAATTAGATGCGGTTGTAGAAGAGGGGCTGACAGCTTTATCTGCTTAGGGATGAGGATGTGGTTGGATTAGACAGTCCCTTGGCCCTCGCTGCCCTGCAGTGCTTTCTGGGCAGAGGCATCCATCTTGCAGAATGATGGCCAGGCATAGTCCTGGCTGCAGTGCTCCTGGAAGCTGAGGCCCTGGTGACTCCTGGGCATCCCAGGCACTGGTGGGTTTCTCTGCATTAATTCTGCTCTGAAGCCAGGATTCTGGGGAGTCTTTACTCCAGATAGTAACCTTTCTAGAGCGAGAAGGGATCCCTCAGCACGGGCAGCTTGACCCAGAGGTGCTCCAGTTCCTCAAATTCTTTTTTTTTTAGAGGGAGTCTCGCTCTGTCACCAGGCTGGAGTGCAGTGGCATGATCTCAGCTCACTGAAACCTCCGCCTCTCAGGTTCAAGCGATTCTCCTGCCTCAGCCTCCTGATTAGCTTGGACTACAGGAGCACAACCACCACACCCAGCTAATTTTTGTATTTTTAGTAGAGATGGGGTTTTTACCATGTTGGCCAGGATGGTCTTGATCTCTTGACCTCGTGATCTGCCCGCCTCGGCCTCCCAAATTGCTGAGATTACAGCCGTGAGCCACCGTGCCGGCCATCTCGAATTCTTGTTAAGCAACTGTTGTCTACCCTGGGGGGAGAAGCAGACAAGACTCAGCCACATCCTGCCCTCTAGGAGTTCTTGGGCTGGCAGAGGGAGAATGAGGCATCAGGCATTGAATAGCATGCAGTGCTGGTAAGGAGGCCGCGGGGAGGTTCTGAGGAAGGTGGCGTCCATTCTGGCAGGGAGATCAGGGAAGGCTTCTCTGGATACAGAGGGACACCGGAAAGAGCTGAGGAGCACCACATGCGTGCCCGCACTGAATGCACCCAGGCAAACCCCCTCCACTGGGCCTCAGCGTCCACATCTGCACGGTGACAAGGCTGCCTCTGTGGTTTTGCCTCAGTCCTCCTGGCCCGGACACTGGTAGGCTCAGGTCTCCATGTTCCCCTTAGAGTCAGTGCCCAGGCGAGTTGCTCTACAATCCTCCCTGGTAACTGCAGTTTCACTTGAGACTTCCTTGTGTATCCCAGACAACCAAAGGCAGCCCCGAGGGGCCCCTGCTGCACCCCAGCCCCCACCTGGGGAAAGATGCCAGCACAATTTTACAGAGATTGAGTAAATATTGCTATGTGTTTTACTGAACTATTGTTATTTTATCTGGGGAAGAGAAGATGTTGATGTCGGTGACAAAAATATTAAAATCACATACTAGCTGTGTGTCCTTGGGAAAGTTATACTCTCTCTGGGCCTTAATTTGCTCCTCTATGAAATGGGAGCTTTAGTCCTACTTGATCTCCTCTCTGGGATTGTGTAAAATGCTGACTCCACGAAACAGCTGACAGAGAAGAGATGTGGTGAGGGAGGGATGGTGGGGGAAAATGATCTCTAAAAAAGTCGTGGCCAAAGTGAGGAATGGCTCTTCCCTGCTCTCAGAGCCTCTTGTTGCTGTGTGTGTTTTGGTGGGTGAGGGGTGGCATAGGGCAGTGTTGCAGCTTTTCCCCTTCTAGCACAAGTGGCCAGATACAGGGCTGCTTTCTCCTGTTTGCCTCTCAGGCTACCTCTCAAGAGGACCTCTTATTCTACGCATAAAGCCTCTGGCAGGAGAAAGGCATGCAATGGAGAGAAGTGCTTTTCAATGGAGCAGACCCCCATCAAGGTGGAGGAGCCCACACAAGCCCCTGAGCTCACCTGGGTTATTGCTTGGACCTTCTCCTCTGGTTTAATCTCTGCCCTAACCATCCCTTCATGGCAAAAAGAAGAGACCCAACCCAGAAGCCACAGACCAGGCCTGTGGACCGAGGACTCTGCTTTTGCTCCGCCCTCCCTTCCCCATCCCCACCATGTCTCCTTGTCTAGGAACCGAACCCTCAGCTCAGACCTTTCAGCATTTTTAAGACTGGGAAGGTTTTCCAGTGTCTCCTTCAAGTTGCCAAGTCTATGTTCATGAGTGGAGGCAAAGAGCTTGGGCTTTGGGGTCCAGCTGACCTGGATTTGATCCCTGGCCCTGCCACTTTCTAACTGGATGACAGTGGGCAGATAATTTACCCTTTCTGAGTCTCAGTTTCCTCACCTGCAAAATGGGTATTATAATAGTGCCTATTTCACAGGATGGTTGTGAGGAATAATGAGATAATGTGTGCAACATCTGTGTGAACTTTATGGTTTTTCTGCCCAGTTGAGCATTTCCCTTCTCCCAGGAAGTGCTCCCAGTTGTTCTCAGGGCTGCAGGTCATGGCACTGCACTTCCCTGGCCAGAGCACATGACTGAATGCAGCCGATCAGAGTCTGTCCTTGGGATTTTATACTGTAGCTGGAGAAAGAAGGGCTCTCCCCTGTCTGTTGTAAAGATAAAAGATGCAAGCTTGAAGTTGGCTGCACATTGGGTTCTGGTCTTGCCCGGGTGGGGTACAGCTGACCCATCAGAAAATAACAACTGCAGCTGGGTGTGGTGGCTCATGCATGCAATCCCAGCACTTTGGGAGGCCAAGGTGGGCGGATTACCTAAGGTCAGGAGTTCAAGACCAGCCTGGCCAACACGGTGAAACACCGTCTTTACTAAAAATACAAAAATTAGCCAGGCGTGGTGGTGCACACCTGTAATCCCAGCTGCTTGGAAGGCTGAGGCATGAGAATAGCTTGAACCCAGGAGGTGGAGGTTGCAGTTAGCTGAGATTGTGCCACTGCACTCCAGCCTGGGTGATAAAGTGAGACTCTGTCTAAAAATATAAAAAGAAAAAAAGAAAAGAACAACCTGGAAAGAAGCAGAGAGGAGGAGAGAGAGACACTGGATTGCCCTTGAATCCCTGGTTCCAGTTATCTCGTGGTCCAGCGTCATTCCTGTTTTTCCTGTGGTTTCAGTATTTGAGGGACTGCCCATAACATTTCCCTTTTGGGTTAGCTGGTTGGAGCTGGGTTTCTGTCACTTGCAACCAAAGGATCCCAACTAATGTAAAATTACTTAGCCTAGTACCTGGCTTATAGCAAAGGCTCTATAAGTGGTGGCTCTAAGTATTAAGTCAGACTCTGCGGCTTGACATTGGTGCTGAATTTCCATCTCCATTTATCCCTGGCCACCCTGTTGTGTGCACTTGTGTATTCTCTCTGCCACCCGGCACCCAAGACTCTAGGGCTGCCTGAGTGAAACACGAAGCTGGTGGGTGGCTCGCGGCCTGAGCCTGCCTGGTGAGGACGGCAGCAGCTCCGGCCCATACAAAGCAGCACCATGGACAGTGGCAGACCAGCCTGAGAATGCCTGCCACCACGCCAGACACAACCGAGCTGCCGACATCCTTCCCCATGTCGGGGCCTGATAATGAACAAGTAATTTATGTCCAGGAGTCAGTGGAGCCTGTCTTGGGCCAGGGCTGAAATGTGACTACGAGGGATTCCTATGAAGGTCATCGCCCTGCTCTTGTCACTGCTAAGGGTTGTCTGTAAATGGCATCCCTCGGAGGCATCACCTTGCTCTCCTGGCTTCTTTGTGGGGATAAGGGTGCACTTTTGAGAAGGTGAGTTGAGAAAAGCACTGGGCTTCTTTTGAGCCATGCCCTTGCAGTGGCCCAGGAATTCTTGTCAAGTGTGACCTCAGATGTCTCATGGGTGAGAAGGGGTGACCCAGGGTGGACTGACACGTGAGAGGCTGTGCAGAATCTGTGAGTGGGGAGGGCAGGAATTGGGCATCCTTCATTGGGGACAAAATAGCTCCAAAGACCTTCTGTCTAAATTAATTTGAATCAAACTCCAGATATGACAAGAATGGTGTTCTGGTGACAAAGTAACAGAGCATCTTTTTTGAGAGTATGAAAAGAGGGGAAGGGATAAAGGAGAAAGCACTAGGCTGGAGGGTAGGTGAATCATGAAACCCCTTCCTATGGGACTCAGTTTCCCCACCATTTCGTGGATTGGAGAGGCTTCACCATTCTGGGATGCGGTCAGAGTATGGTTTAATGGTCCCATTTTATGGATGAGGAAACTGAGACTTAGAGGTTAAGTTGTACAGATTTCACATTCCAGACTTGGGCCTTTGGATTCCTAACCCAGTTCCATGTATTGCCCAGCCTCATATGCTGTTTATAGAAACTATGGGATCTCTCTTCAGCAGAGAGGTCTCATGGAGTCCTCCCAGCAGCGGCCCAGAGGCCCCCATTCTGTCCCACTGTCATTTCAAAGTAAAATTCCTCTGGAAATTGCCATGCTGCCTCCTGTTAGAGAGGGTGCAAGGGGAGAGGGTGCTCCTGGAGGAAAGATTTATTTTCCATGGGAGGTTTGGTGATTTGTGTGTGCATTGCCTCAGCTGGGAGGGGTCACCTTCCAGTGGAGGGGCTGAAAGTGGGATCATGCCCTTGTTCCTGCGCCATGGGGCCCCCCCCGTCAATGCCATCCTTTCAGCTTCACTTCCTCTTTCCATGTTGCAGCTGGAGTGTCTGGCCTGAAACATGATCAATACACTATGAGCTGAGTGCTGCAGTTTTCTTTTCCTCCCAGGTGGGAACTACATTTAAATTTACTTGAAGGTTAAAAAAACAACACCTTCTATGAGGGGAATTTAAAAAAAGAATGGGTTGGGAATCTCCTATTAACAGGAGAACGTATCACCCCAAACCAAATGAGCCCTGTTTGCCGCTCACCCCACAGCTGAGCTGAGCCTGCTCTGGACATGTGGGCCCTGGTGACCACATCACAGGGCCTGGACAGTGTTCACTGGGTAGAGGGATGCTGATGGCTTGGTTGGCTCCTGTGGTTGGGCTTTTAGAAAATACCCCTAAACACAGCTTTTCCTTTTAGTTCCCTTTTGCAGAACTCCAGGAAGCAGGTAGGTCATGGATTACCAGGTCCATTTCACAGATGAAGAGATGTCACTCAGAGAGGAAGAGTGGAAGAGAACAGCCACCAGGCTGCAGGCACTCCCGCAGGGCCCTTTCTGCTGCATTTCTGCCAGCCCCCAACCAACGGCAGGTGCAGAAGGGGCTGCACAGACATACAGGGCTCTGGGGCACCTGGCCAGATGCTGCCTGAGCAGGCTGGGGGAGGTGGTTTCCTTCACATGGTCTCAGAGCTGAGAGTCCCTGAGCTCTACACACCTTGGACTGTGTTCCTTCTGTTCTTCTAATGCTCACTGTCTTTGTCTGTGAGAATATCCCAATCACAAACTGTATTGGCTTTTATTTTTAGGGGGAGATTTGCAAAAGGGGATACACGTCTATTCGGAAATATTCGGAATGTAAAGCTGAAAGGGGGGGTGGTAATCTCACCCCTGCCTCCCCTGTCTGGCTGTACCCTTCTTCACTGCACCTCACTACCAGGGAGAGTTGGCTCTCCCTGGAGTCAGACAGACTTCATCCAAGTCTCAGCCCCACCACATCCCAGCTGTGTGACATAGGGGAGGTCACCTAACTTCTCTGAACCTCCGTCTCTTCACCTACAAAAGGGGATAATAATTAGGGTGACTGTTAAAGTCATCCAGATGGGGACACTATTGAGAGTGAAAGTTGGCACTCTTAATAAGCACGTTGGGACAGTGGGCGTGGACCAGGGCTGTCCTGGCAAACCAGGATATTCAGGCACTTAGTGATAATAGAAGTACCTACTCATAGGTTGTTGTAAGAATGAAATGCTAAAAATGCAAAGATTAACTTGCATAGAGCTGGGAGTACAAATTCTTGATGTAAGATAGCTTTATTGTTGTTATTTTGTGTTCTCTTTTCATCTCAGGAGACTGTGTGACCTTCTTTTGAGACTGGAGAGAATAGAGTGGTCTGATCTGGGATTCCTCACCTTCTGCACATGTGTAATTCTATGCAGTGCTGGTATTTGCCTTCTCTCCTAAGGCCGGGCTTTGCAAATGATCCCAATGGCTCTTAAGCCTCCCTGATTGGAGCCCTCTGACCATGATGGTGCGAGGTTGGTCATATGTGGTCCCAAGAGGTCACTGGTTAAGACCTTGGAGGGCACACATCTCTGAATTGGGATGAAGGTCACATTTGTAAGTTTGTTCCTCTGGCTTCTCTTGCTGATGCTTCCCATTGCTTATTACGGGATGTGTGTTGTTAGAGTGATGGGTGAGTGGAGGGAAGGATGCTGCTGTTTAGAGAGAGGTTAAGCCTAGACAACCCTTCTGGAAATCTCCAAACATTCTGGGAGTTGGCCTGGGGAGAGGAGGTGACCAAATCCACTCCTGTGGGCTAAGATTAGACAGTCAGGCTGGTCTCTGTCCTGACATGATTCCCTGGAGACTTCAGAGAAACCAGCTACCAAGGGGGTCCTGGTAATTCAGCAAAAACACAGAATATCAAAATAATTGGGAATCTTGCCATCCCTGGTGTTATTAACCACAGTGTACATTTTAAGGCCAGATCTTCCAGCTGATGAGTGTATAGGCATGTGTAGTCCACGGGAAGGAATTTTGTAGTTCAAAGTAGATGCACCCAAATGTAACTTGACTTTCTCTGTAACTGGGCTTTCCTTCTATCCTGCGCTCCTGTTCTGCCTGATGCACAGAAATCAATCAGTAGCGATTTCTTACTGAAGTCATAATTATTCAGGGACTTCCTGATGCTCTCAGCTGAGCTCTGTCACACTCAGGTTTGCTTCCCCTGTCAGGGTTTTCTCTCCATCCCACCTTCTGGGTTGAGGCTAAGTGGTGAGGAAGGGACTGTGCCTCTTCCCTTCCGGCCTGGGCAGGAGTGGCCCCTTTGGGCTGGAAACCCACTGGGTGTGGCCGCATCTGCCCATGCCCTTCGTGGGAGGGCTGTCCTAGCCACGAACCTCTCCCTGGCTCATGACCGCTTCCAGCCAACTTCAGTGCCCCATTTGGGAGTCTTGAGAATGTCCTGAATGTCCTTCCATGCAGTTCCGGGCTGCAGGGAACTGGAGGGGTCGGGGCTACCCTGAGCCTCTCATGTCTAGATGAACCATGTCACTCACGTATTCTCCAGTGACTGCTTCCTTGGCAGCACTAGGTGTAGGCCCAGGAGCTCTGTGTCCTGGCGGCTCCACACTTATCTGGGGGCTTTTAGCATCTTCTCCCCTCCTGTGAGATTTGGCCCAAAGGAGTAGGTGGCAGAGTTCAGGGCTGTCCCACACCAGCAACTGAGCTACAGCTTCATCTGCAGACTTCTCCTCCTCTCCAGGCCTGGGTGCATTTTATCTCGTCGGGGTGGGCAGGGGATAACTGATTCTAGTGGGTCATGGCCCCTCCTAATTTGTTCATCCTACACCTAGACTGTGGATCCTGAACTGAAAACCTCAGAACTTGGGACTTCTGTTCTTTGGTCCTTTCTGACAACTACCCCAAGGGATAGTGGTGGGAGTGGACTGGAGCATGACACGCTCTCATGGGGAATGATGGTTGTGAGGTGAAAGGGGGTGCTGGGGAGACAAGGAGACATGTCAGGTAACATCTCAGATTTGTGTCCCGTGATGGAGATTTACAAGGAGAGCAGGCAATGTGGAGCAACAGGGACTCTCATTCATTGCTGGTGGGAATACACAATGGTACAGCCACTGTGGAAGACAATTTGGCGGTTTTTCAAAAAATGAAGCATACTCTTACCATATGACTCAGCAATCATGTTCCTTGGTGTATGCCCAAAACAAAGGAACTGAAAAATTGAAATTTTATTTTGTCTACAAAAACACCTTAACTTGGATGTTTATAGCAGCTTTATTCCTAATTTCCAAAACTTGGAAGCAGCCAAGATATCCTTTGGTAGGTGAATAGATAAATAAACCATGGTGCATGTGTTCAGGGGGCTGCTGGGCTCCACCTTGCCATATGATCTTGGACAATGTATAATGGAACGTTACTCAGTGCTAAAAAGAAATGTGCTATCAAGCCATGAGAAGACATGGAGGAAATTTCAATGCATATTACAGAGTGAAAGAAGCCACTGTGAACAGGTACATACGGCATGACATTCTGGAAAAGGCAAAACTATGGAGAGAGTAAAAAGCTCAGTGGTTGCCAGGAGAGAGGGAGAGAGAAGGTTGAGTAGGCAGAACACAGAGGATTTTTAGGGCAGTGAAACTACTCTGATATTCTAATGATGGATAGATATCATTATACATTTGTCCAAACCCATATAATATACAACACCAAGAGAGAACCCTAACGTGAACTATGGACTTTGGGTGATTATGATGTGTCGTTGCAGGGTCATCAATTGTAACAAATGCATTACTCTGGTGGGGACATTGGTGGCAGGGGAGGCTGTGCGTGTGCAGGCATGTGGGGTGTACAGGAACTCTTTGCACCTTATGCTCAGTTTGCTGTGTATCTAGCACTGCTCTAAAAAACAAAGTCTATTTAAAAAACAGTCACATCACGTATACTGTGTTATTAACTTCTTTTTATACACCATGAATATTTACCACTGTCATCACATATTCTTTTATAATATAGTTTGTAATGAGTATGCCATATTTCATTGTATGCAA
This sequence comes from Homo sapiens, assembly GCF_000001405.40. NCBI lineage: Eukaryota > Metazoa > Chordata > Mammalia > Primates > Hominidae > Homo > Homo sapiens. The sequence continues at coordinate 36,753,725 of NC_000009.12, forward strand.
GTTTCGTAACTTAACTATTTTCCTAGTTTTGGATGTTTAAGTTTCCTTTTTCTTTTCTCTAAGAAAAAAATGCTAGATGAGTTTCCTTGGACATAATCTTCATGCAAATTTCTATTCCCTCTAAATAAATAAGGATATTTATTTTCACGTAAATAGTTGAGGATTTCCCACATCATCCCAACACAAGCTCTTGTGCACATTTCCACAGATACACGCATAGACACAGAGAAACACAGAAACACAAAGCCACGTGCAGTCTTGACTTCACTGTAGAGAATTCAGCTCATCTGCTTTGAATCTAGACACAATAAAAATATCCCCCTCTTTCCAGGTGCCACCAGGAAGTGAAGGCACTTGAAGGCATCTGTGCAGGAGGATGACAACTGCAAACATTAATCACCCCAAAGTGTCCTAGCCTCCTTTGCAGTTGTCACCCTCCTGCATGGATGGCCTGTACAGATGTCTTCGCTGGGCAGTAGAGTGACCAACTCATCCCAATTTGCCTGGGACTTTACTAGTTTTAGCACTGAAAGTCCCTGACTCTGAGAACCTCTCCCAACCTGTCCTGATAAAACTAGGATGGCTGGTCACCCTAAAAGGCAGAGGGTGGGGCTGGGTCCCTCTCCTTCAGTGCTGGCCTCTTCCCCTCATGGGCAGATATCAGGTGCACTGGGCTTACCCCGAGGGCATTGGGGAAGCTTAGGGACTAAGAAAAGTTTGATGCTGTTGGAACACAGCCTGAAGCCCACTGGTGCTCTTGAAGGGAAGCAAAGGAAAACTGTGTGTTCAGGGGCCTTCTGGGCTCAGCCCTGCCAGATGAGTTGACTAAACCTATCTCCATCTCATTGCCCAGTGGGCGTCGGGGACTTATCGCCTTCTTCTGAGGAGTGACATCAGCCTCCAGTTCGTTCACCCATCTGCAGCCACTCCCCTTCCAAGCCAGTTCCAAGCCTCAAACGTATCTCTGCTCAAAGTCTGTGATGACACTCCATTGTCGTTGGGATGGTAGGATGGTGTGGGTGGAACACAGATTTTGGAATCAAACAGATCAGGGTTCAAGCTCCAATGTTATCAGGCTATGTGACTTTCGACAAAGCCCTTGATTTTTCATTTTCCTTATTTATAAATGAAAACAAAATCTCCCCTGTAGGGCTAAAGGGAGAAGTAAATTAAATAAGATAACACATTTATAAAGTGCCCTGCACAATGTTTGCTACATGGTAAGTATAAAACAGTCAGTCACTATTGTTCTGACGATTTAGAACATCATCCAGAGACCCCAGACTGGGGTCATTCAGCAACCCCCCACCCTGACCTTGCCTTCAGCTCTGGGTTCATATTCACATCACCCACACCTACACTCACACCCCCACTTCTGCTGCCCATACTTCTTACTATTCTCCAGGTAAGTCCTTTCCTTTCTGGCCACACGCTTTTGCTGATTTACTCCCTTGCCTGGAACTCCAGTCCCCTGTTGAAGCTCCTACTCATCCTACCGTAGCCCCATTCCACCTCCTCCAGGAAGTCTTCCCCAACACCCCCAGATGAAATGGAGCTTTGCTTCCTCCTTGCTCTACCATTTGCTTTCTCCAGCTTGCACTTAGAGACTGGCCTTGCAGTCAGAATGGTTTCCTCTATGGCTATTTGCATCCATATCTCTTTTCCCCTATAGATCTTGGGCTGCTTGAGGGCAGAGTCTGTGACCTGCTCATCTCTGCCAGCCTCAGAGCCTAGCACAGAACTTTGCACAGAGCAGCTGCTCCAGTGAAAGTGTTCATTGTCCTAAGAGAGTGGTGGACACTGGGCACTGTGGAAAAACAGAGGGCGAAGGAATCACCTGCCTGGGGAGCATGGCATGTTATAGAGAAGGTGGCCTGGGCACTCAGCTTTGAAAGAGCAGGAAGGTAGAAGAGAAAAAGAGACAGAGGAACAGATAATCCAGGCAGAAGATGAGTGTGGGCAAAAGCCTGTGGGGAGGAAAATGTGTGTTTAGGGAAAAGCAAGGGGTCCTATTGCTGAAGGCTGGGATGGGTGCAGGTGTCACAGAAAGCCAGGTTGGAATCTGGCCGAGGAGGGAGATGCCCAACCACCCCAGTTCTTGCTTGCTTGACTGTGAACACTCTCTAGCTGGTATGGCCCAGGTGCACCAGAAGGATGCAGAGAAAGAGTTGTGATATAGATGCCCTGTTAAACTTGAATTGCAGATAAATGAAGAATTTTTAGTAAGTATAAGTATGTCCCATGCTTAGGTGGGACATACTTGCGCTACACAATAACTCATTGTTTATCTGTAATTCAAATTTAACTGGGCGTTCTGTTCTTATTTGCTATATCTGGCAACCCTCTCTGTGAGGAATGCAGTAATGCTGCAGCGTCAGAGGTGTCATTACCATTTTTTGGGCCATTGCTTCATGAGCAAAGACAGATTGAAGTGTATGAATCCCCACTGCACCTAAATGCAGATAAACATGACGAACGGTAATGGCTCCGGAGGAATCAACAGGAGTGTTTCCAGCAGCAGGTGAGTTGTGGGCGCTGGAAATGAGCATTTGGATGCTGGAGCTCAGGCCCCACCTGCCATCCCTGGGGTGTGAATTTCACAAGGGGGTCTCTTCTGAAGGAGCAAGGCTCAGGCCTGAAGAAACAAGGCTAGAAGTAGCGATTGAGTTTCCAGGCTTACCCACTTAAAGTCTGTTTTGCTATTAAGGGGCAGGGATTTAGCAATATTATTAATGAGGCTGGTTTGGGGGCTGGCCTGGAACCCAGCTTCTATTTGAAACTCAATTTTTATGGCGATGGAAACTCTTTTGTCATCGATTGGAAAGAAAGAGGCATCAGAAACATAGCTCCTTCAAGCCAATCACGGTTGCTGTGGTCTCCAGGCCATGTTCCAAGGAAGTGGGAGTGGAGGACGGGCATATTAGTGGAAACTGGGGAATAATAAAAAACGTAGGCTCCCCTCACCTCTCTTCTTCAGGAACCAGACCCTCAGAGAGGAAGTATTGTTTGCTAGGCACAAACCATGAGCTAGACACTTTCGGTTCATCACCTTGGGTAATCCTGCTGTACTTGTTTGGAGCTATCTCATCGTATGGGGATAGAAACTGAGGCTTGGAGAGGTGAAATAAACTGCATAATAAGGTCATATAGTTCAGCAAAGCCAGGACTCGAACCTGTGTCTATGAAGCTCCAAAATCTTGGCTCTTTATTTTGGGCCACATTAGAAATAACTCCCTGGAAACCCCCACAATGGGTCCCGGGATCCAACTACAAGATTCTGTATTCCTGACCTCACAGCTCCTCATCTAGCCAGTCCCAGCATGGAAGGGCTGGTTATTTGTCCACCAAGGCACTTGCTCTATGGGTGTCAAAGATGGTGGCTGTTACCACGTTTCCAGGAGGGACCCAGTGTTGCTGCTACTGTTCTCCAAATCCTCCCCCACACTCCTGTCATCCCTGAATGACTTAATCTCTGAGCCCTCTGAGACTTAGTTTGTACCTGTTTGTGGTTACGCTAAGTGGAGAGCTCCTGGGGGTGGGGGTTGGGCAAGAACCAAGTTAGTCCTCTCTTCCTTCCAGGTGCTCTAAATGTGTTCATGGAAGGGAGAAAACCCCAAAGGTTTATTGAACTAGAGTAGTCCAGGCAAGAAGAGCTGATGATATGTACAGCTGCATGTACATCGACCAGGCTAGACTAAGCTCATCTGCCTGGACTATGTAATATCTGATGCCTCAGGAGAGTGATAGGGTATTAGCTAAGGTAATGCTGGCTACTATAACAAACTCCTAATTATATGATGGCTCAAACAACAGATGTTTATGTCTCACTTGTAAAGTACCACACACATGTTCTGATAGGTATAGGTTTGCTAGATAAAATATGACACCTAGTTAAATTTGAATTTCAGAGAAACCACAAATAATTTTTTCCAAGTGATAACTCTCTACTCAGGCTTTCTAAGCATCTAGGACTGGTTCAGAAAGGTGGCTGGGGTTGCCTCTGCCCCTAAGCTGGGATGTATACTAAGAAGGCATTCATTGCTTATCTGAAGTTCAAACCTACCTAGATGTTTTGTTTTCATTTTTGTTAATTCTGGCAACTCTAGATAGGTGGGTGGTCCTTCTTCAGTGTTGGTTTAGGGACCCAGGCTCCTTCACCTCCTTGCCCTGTCCCTTCAACCTCTGGTTTCCACAGTCATGACACCAATTTGTATCAAACTGATGAAAGGGAATGAGCATGAGGATCACTTGGGGGAGGTTTTTGTGGACTGAGCGGTAACTAGAACACAAGGGTCTTCTCTCATTCCATTGGCTGGAACAAGTCACACGCCATGCCCAACGCCAAGTAAGGCTGGGAAATGTAGTCCAGCTCTGTGCTCAGGAAGAAATGGAAGAAGTTCTATGGACACACACACACACACACACACACACACACACACACACACACAGCTTTTTAAAGAAGGCATGATACATTTTCTTGGGTAGTCTTTTTAAGACTACAGCTTTACTTTGGCAAACACACACTCCAGGAGGGAACAAGCCAGTGCCCACATTTGTCAAGGAGAGAGTTCTTCCCTCTGCTTTCCTTGAAGAAAACAAATAAACAAAACATTTATTTCTTCTATGAAATAAAGTCCTGGTAAGAAGTTGTTGAGTTTGTGCTCTTAAACAAGCAGCAGGAGGGAGAGTCAAAACTTTGAACCTACCAAAGGCCCCCAAATCCATCTGTTGGAATCCTAGCGCCAGGGTGATGGTATTTGGAGTGGGGGGGTGCCTCTGGTAGGTGATTAGATCCCTCCTGAATGGGATTAGTGCCTTTATAAAGAGCCCTGGGGGCACTTCTTTGCTCCTTCCACCATGTAGGGAGACAGCAAGAGGACAGGTGTCTGTGAACGAGGATGCTGGCTCCCTCCAGACCCCAAATCTGCTGATGCCTTGACCTTCAGCTTCCTAGCCCCCAAAACTGTGAGAAATAAATTTCTGTTGCTTATAGCTACCCAGTCTATGGTTTTCTATTATAGCAGTTCAAATGGACGAAAACAGCATTCAATAGAACTGGTATGGATCCTGGTAGAGCCTGGTACAATCTTCTAGCGATGGGACCCAGATCAAGTTACTCAACCTTTCTGAGCTTCGGTTTTACTATCTGTGAAATGGGGCTAATGGCATGTACCTAATGGGGTGCTGTGAGGACACAGCCTGGCCCAACACTTGGCATATACCTAGAGCTCAACAAATAGAAACAATCTCACAGCTTCTGTTCCCTCTGTGGTCCTGTGGCAGCTACCCAACTTGATCCTGAGCTGAGCCTGTCTGGGGGACTGACTGGAGGGTCCTCCAGGAATCTGCCTGTGGCAAGGAGAGCCAGGTTGATAAACTAAGCCTGGCAACCAGCCTGAGTCACCCACCAGTCAGGAGGAGAACTTTCCTCCTGGTCCAAGCCTATCATGGATTTGTGTCTGGAGCCTCTGGGGAGGGGATTGGTCCAAATAAAACTTCTGAAAAATATTGGAACACAAGACTCCTTGGAACAATGCCAAAGTGGGGGAGAGGCAGTCCCCACAGGGACGCAGGCTGGCTGTGGACCATCCAGGGTGCAGATAATGGTGGCGAAGATGGTGCTGCCCAGTGGGAGGTGGCTTCAAGGCGGGCACAGAGGCAGTGTGTGTGTGTGTGTGGGGGGGGGGGGGCTGCGTTCTCCCATGACTTGGCAGAAAGCTGAAGAAGAAGGAGGAGAAGCAGTAGCTGAGAGGATAACTGGTAAAAACATAAGAGTTTTCCAGAAATACTTGAAGAGGTACTGGAAGCAGCTAGACAGCCAGAATTATCAGGTAGAGGGGGCACAATGAAACAGTGAAGCATTAGCTATCCATAATGACCCCCTTCACACCCAGGGTTGGTGTGGTTGGGGTAACCTAGGTCGCATCATTGTCTTCAAAGAATAATTCCCCAAGGTACATTTGATTGCTGTTGGCATGAGTGTGTCTCCCTGACCCCCACCCACCAATTGATGTCTTCCCCTGGGGCTCTGTGTCCTTCAGGAGAAAGTGCTTTGCCATCCTTGATTCAGACTCAACCTCTCTGTTCTCCCTGCCTGCATCTCACACCCCTCTGATTATGGAAAGATTGCCCCTTGGTCTCCAAATCATTAATTTTGGCTGTGTAGCTCCCACCTAGCAGAGCTTTTCTGCTCTGAAAAACTCTGATTATAAATAGTTCAATAATACACGTCCTCCTGAGCTTAAGACTCTGGCTTATGTAATTGGAAATCTGGATGTGAAGCAAGTTAAAGTTGATGCCATAAAGACAGTAAAATAATTAATCACTTTGCTCTGTCTAATAGATTCAAGGGCATAGGAACAGCCTTGCGGCCAGGGTGAATCTTCGGGAGTGGCACTTGCTGTCATGGCGACCTCGGCAGGCACTGGGGAGATAGGCAGGGAAATCAGCACCTGGGGCCAGAGGATGGGGTCTCAGCAGGGTGTGCCCCTCCAAGCTCACCAAGGCCCTACTGATCAAGATGTCAGGCATCTGTGACCCTCTGATCCCCCACTCTCCCCCTGTCCCAGGGTTCCTGTATATTGTGCATGTCCTTAGGCTCATACAAGCCTGGTCCCCCCAACTGCCTCCCTGGACATGGTGGCTCTGATTAGATAATCCCTCTTCAGCCCACAAAGGACTTGAACTCCCACTATCTTGCTCTATCCTCACAAGGCTCTGTGAGGCAGGCAGAACAATTATTCTTTCCCTCCCACTTGTCCTAAGGGAAAACAAAGGCTCCGCTGGTTCTGGGTGAAATGGCCCATTTCACATGTATCTTTCTCAAATTCACACAGCCAGTTGGTGGAGCCATGTCTTACACTCCCATCTGGGTGACAACTTAGCCTGTGCCTTCTTGGCTCTGCTCGCCGGCTCCCTGACAGGCCAGGAGCACCAGGCTGTGGACATCCACCTGAGGGAGGCTGCTCCAAGGGCAGGGACCAGGTCGGGGAGCATAATATTGAGCATTAACAATGTGCCAGGCAAGGTCCTAACCACCTTCACACTCGTGATCTCGTTTATTCTTCAAATCACCATCTAAGGTAGCTGCTGTTGTTCCCATTTTATAGATGACGAAACAAAGAAACAAGCACAGAGAGGGTAGGAAACTCGTGTAAGATCACACAGCTCATAAATAGCAGAGACAGGATTTGAACCTGTGCTTTTAACCACTGTAACCCATGGGCTCCTTGGAAGCCTGTGAGGAGCCTTGAGATGGGATGGAACTCTTACTTGAGTCAGTGCCTCAGGATCGATTCTAGGGTCTAGCACAGGAAGGGGTTCACGAGATGTTGTTGAAGGTCGGGCAGGGTGGGGTCCTTCTGCCTCTGGCCTGGCTGTCTTCCTTCACTTATTCCAAGCACACGCATTTCCTGATCTGGGCCAGTCCCTGTCCTGCACTGGGAACACGGGGGTGGATGAACCACAGCCTCTGCATCTGCAGGGGCAAGTGAAGTGTGGCAGGGCAGATAACAGCCAAGTCATGTGGTAAGTGCAGGGCTAAGAGCACCATGGATGCCTGCATAGCACCAGCTTAGGTCAGGGCATCCCGGTAAGGTGACAGCGGAGAGGGGACAGGCATGCCAGGTAGAAGGAACAGCATCAGCAAAAGCCTTGGCGTCAGGAAAGAGATGGGGTGAGTGGGATCCAGAGGCGTGGCAGAGGGCGTGCAGGAGATTTTAAGGGCCTTGAGTGCCAAGGTAAGGATTCTGGACTTTCTCTGGAGCCGCTGAGCAGTGCCATGACCCAGTGCCGTTTTAGGAAGTCAGGTCTAGTGAGACAGACTGGAGGTCGCGAGGCCAGGGAGGAGAGGGCGGGTGGCAGTGGGAATGAGGGCAGTGGCTCTGCTTGGTGAGGGAGTGTAGGGGATAGCCTGGGGCCTGCCTTGACTTCTATACGTGTTTGTGCCCCCACATCCCCACACCAAGGCCAGTTTTAGGTTTATTCTGTGTGTTGTGAGCGAGCTCCGGAGAGGGGGCTGAAGCGACGCATTTGAGACCCCCAACCGATTTCTGCCTTTAGGACTATGATGAGAGGAGCAGCTCTTCGCTTGGGGTTCTTGGTACTTTTACCTGAATCTGTCCAAGGTGACTTCTGGAATGAGTGTCCTGAAGGCAGGGGACAAGCCCAAGGGAGTGGAGATCATCACCAAAACCAGAGCCTCCTGGGTTTCAATCTCAGTCCCACCATTCAGAAGCTGTGTGCCCTTGGAGAAATAATGTCACCTCTCTGGGCCTCTGTTTTCTTATCTGTGAAGTGGGGCAATAGTGATGCTGCTCCTACAGCAGCTGTGAGATTCTAGCAAGCTTTACCTGGAAAGCATGTGGCACACAGAGGTGCTCAGTTACACGTCACTCCTGGGACCTTTGTCATCATCTTGTCTTCCCATTGGGATCAACGCATTGAAGAAACTGCAAAAGATTGCTGGGTGCGGTGGCTCACGCCTGTAATCCCAGCACTTTGGGAGGCTGAGGTGGATCACCTGAGGTCAGGAGTTCAAGACCAGCCTGGCCAACATGGTGAAACTCCGTCTCTACTAAAAATACAAAAATTAGCCAGGCATGATGGCAGGTGCCCGTAATCCCAGCTACTCGGGAGGCTGAGGCAGGAGAGTCGCTTGAACCTGGGAGACGGAGGTGGCAGTGAGCTGAGCTCAAGCAACTGTACTCCAACCTGGGCAACAAGAGTGAAACTCTGTCTCAAAAAAGAAAAAAAAAAAAAAGAAATTGCAAAGGATTGTTGTTTACCTGGCTGAGTAGCTGCAGGTAAACAGCTTGAAGCTGGGATTGGGGGAACTGTGGGGTTGAAACCCCTCCCTCTCTGTCCCCTGGAGTAGGACCACCTGAGATGGGGGTGAGGTTCAGGGGGTCTGACACCTACCTCCTGGGAGATGAGCATAGAGAGAGTAGTCTCCATTCCCCACCCATCCCTCTCCCTAGCCCGTCTCCTGCAACACTGTGCAGGAGGGAGCCAGGCTGGGGTGTACTACCATTTCACATGGGGGGAAGTGGGGGCATAGGGAGGCAATGGGACTCCCCAAAGTTTCCTCTGGAGCTGGGAGGGAGGCCTGGGTTCCTCTGTGGGGATTACAGAGGACCTTGAAGTCTCTTTGTGGCAGGCTGGTGTCATGCAGACAGGGGCAGGCAGCGACGTGAGCACTTCTGCCATCTCCAGTGAGGGATGCGCTGCTCAGGTGAGGAGAGCCTTGCTCAAGGTGACTGTGAGCTCCTGACTTCTCAGTGTGCTGGCAAATGGACCCCATCCATCCTGGGAGGGAGAGAGCCTGACTCTCGCCCCACATGGCCCGTCAGGGTGGCCATAAGCTCTCCAGGCGCCTGGGGAGCTCCCTCGGGACCCCAGCAACCGAAGACAATGCCTGGTTCCCAGCAGCCCAGCGCCTGTCGGGTGACCTTGAGGACTCACCTTCCCTGGTGGCGGCTGCTGGGAGTGGAGGAACAGGGCTCAGTCACAGGATGGAAGCAGGTGTGTGTGTGTGTGCGTGGAGTGTGGGTAATATGTAAGGATAGGCATCTCCCCAGCTTTTTTGGGGGGAGGAGAGCATCCAGCTGGGTATCCTCCCGGGTCCTACCAGCCTGTCAGGCAGGAGGGGAGACCTGGGAGAGACTGACTTAGGCTGACCTGGGGTGGATCGACCCCGAGGCCCTCCCTGAGATCTGAGCTGGCATCTGCTTCCGCACCGTCGTTCTGACTCCTCTACCCAGGACTAGTTACGGTCACCATCACAGTCAGTAGGACTGTCAATCATTGTTTTAAGTACTGATGTATATCCACCTAGTTGGTCCTCATTTTACACATAGGGAAACGGAGGCAGAGAGGGCTTAAATAGTCTAAGGTCACAGGGTGAACACGCACTCAGTCACTCCCTTCTGTGGCACTGCCTCAGGGGGCCACATGTGCTGGGAAATGCTGTTGTCCTGAAGCAGCTCAGCAACTGCTGGGTCAAGAGAGGGGCAGGTAAGGCGCTGAGGGCCTTGGAGGAAGGAGGACCACGACGACAGCTGTGTGGTGTGTACAGTTGTGTGGGGTGTTTGTGTGGGGTGTGGGGGGTGTATTTGTGTATGATGTGTGTGACGTGGCATATGTGTGGTGCATGTGTATGTGTGGTGCGTGTGCATGTATGATGTGGTGTATGTGTGGTGAGTAATGTGTGTGTTGTCTTTGCGTGTGATGTTTGTGTGTGGTGTGGTGTATGTGGTATGTGTATTGTGAGTGGTGTATGGTGTGAGTGGCATGTGTGAGTGATGTGTGTGTGTGTGGTGTGTAGTGTGTTTATGTGGTGTGTGTGTTGTGGTGTATGTGGTGTGTGTGTGTGTGATGTGTGTGGTTGTGTATGTGGTCTGTGTGATGTGCGTGAGTTGTGTGTGTGTGAATGGTGTCTGTGGTGTGTGTGAATGGTGTGTGCTGTAGTGTAGGTGGTGTGTGTGAGTGGGGTGTGTCTGTTTTGTGCGTGTGAGTGGTGCATGTAGTGCATGTGTGCTGTGGTGTGTGTGAGTTGTGTGTGTGCTGTGGTGTGTGAGTGGTGTGTGTGGTGAGTGGTTGTGGTGTGTGTGGTGTGTGTGTGGTGTGTGTGTGCTGTGGTGTGTGTGGTATGTGTGTGTTGTGGTGTGAGTGGTTTGTGTGTGGTGTGTTTGTGTGGTGTATGTGGTGTATGTGATGTGTGTGTGCTGTGTGTGGTGTGTGAGTGGTGTGTGCTGTGGTGTGTGAGTGGCGTGTGTAATGTATGTGTGCTGTGGTGTGTGTGGTGTGTGTGAGTGGTATGTGTGATGTGTCTGTGTGCTGTGGTGTGTGCGTGGTGCGTGAATGGTGTGTGAGTGGTGCGTGTGAGTGGTGTGTGTGTGTGCTGTGGTGTGTGCTGTGGTGTGTGTGGTGTGAGTGGTGTGTGCTGTGGTGTGTGTGATGTGTGTGAGTGGTGTGTGTGCTGTGGTGTGTATGCTGTGAGTGGTGTGTGCTGTGGTGTGTGTGATGTGTGTGTGCTGTGGTGTGTGTGTGGTGTGAGTGGTGTGTGTGAGTGGTGTGTGTGTGTGGTGTGTGTGTGCTGTGGTGTGTGTGATGTGTGTGTGCGCGTGTGAGGGAAGGAATTTCGGAGGAGGAGGTGGCAGGTGGCAGGTGGCGCAGGTGGCAGGTGGCGCCGGCACTTAGCCACCAAGGGTGGAGGAGGGCCTTCAGGAGGAGGAAACTAGCGGCGAGCAGGGGGTCAGAGGAGGTAAACGCTGTGAACATACCGCCAAGTCCCCATGCTGGGGGTGCAAAACATTGTCATGAAGGATAAGATTGGGGGGCTAGCTAGGACAAGATTGTGGAGGACACTGATTATCAAGCTGGAATTATGCAATTTCTGTCGAGAGCACCTGGTCACCACCGCAGGTCTTTAAGCAGCTATGGATGGGAGGCGACCCTGGCAGCGGCGGGCGAAGATGAGTTAGAAGGGGACAGGAATGAGACAAGAGGAAGGGAGGGAAGAGACGAGGTGGGGAGGACGGGAAGGCGTGCAGGGAGTGGGCCGGTGCGAGAGGGACATGGGATGGAGTCCACAGGGGAAGAGCTGGGGACTCCAGGTTTTCTGGTCAGGAGAGACTGGAGACGCCACTGACAGAAAGAGGAGGAACAGGTGTGGGGAGAACTGATGTTTCTTCGACCAGAGCCATCTGCGGAAACATCGTCTCCTCCGTGGGGCCCAGCTTTCATTCCTCACAGCAGTGATCACTGCATGGCAAACAATCACATTCATCTATTATTTGTTTCTTGTCTTTGCTCAATCAGCATATAAGAGAGTACGAATTCCATCTGCCGTGTTCACAGCGCCATCCCCAGAACCTACAACAGTGTCGGCTTCTAGTAGGTGATCGCTAAATATTTTTTGAGTAAATAAACGAATGACTCATGTCGTGCTGGAGGGGGACTGTGGGACAAGCATCCAGGAGGACTGGAGATCTCCAGGAGGGACGTCTGAGCAAACAAGAATGTCCCACACGTGGAGGTCACTAAGCCCAGGCTGTGTCTGAGATGGTTCTAAGAGAGTAAGAGAGAATGCACAGAAAGAAACCGGATCACCTCCTATGCCCCCAGCGCCTGCACAAAGCCTGGCACACAGCAGGTGTTGCGTGTTGGTTGACTGAATTAATAGATGAACCTGCTCTTCGGCGAGGAGTGAGACTTCCTGTGCATAAGGGGCTCGAGCAGGAAGACAGCTGGCCGAGAGCGTGCGCTGGGGTCCAGAAGGTTGCCTCAGCTTCACAGGTGCCCATGGGTAACGTGTTGTGGTTCCCCGGAGACTCTGGGCGGGAGGAAGTGGGACCATAGAGAGGGGCCCACTTGGGTAGAGCGTCTACCTCCGAGAGGTGGAACTTCATTGGGCGAGTGGGTAGCCAATGAGGAAGCTCCCTGAGGAAGAGCCCGCCCCTGGAACTGGGCCGAGGCACCGCCCCCGCGGAGGAAGCCCCGCCTCTCCCCGTCCCTAACACTGAGGCCCCAGAGGCGAACTGTCGGGACTCCCGGGCTGCTTGGTGGCCTGAGAGGCCCCCGAAGGGCTCTGGGCTGCGCCTTCATCCGCTGCTTTCCTGTGTGACAACCCCAGACCTCATCCTTCAGGGGGTCTCCATTGCCTCAGGTTCCTCTTTTTTTCGAGACGGAGTTTCAGTGTTGACTCCCAGGCTGGAGTGCAGTGGCGTGATCTCGGCTCACTGCAACCTCCACCTCCCGGGTTCAAGCGACTCTCCTGCCTCAGCCTCCCGAGTAGCTGGGATTACAGGCGCCCGCCACCACGCCCAGCTAATTTTTGCATTTTTAGTAGAGACGGGTTTCACCATGTTGGCCAGGCTGGTCTCGAACTCCTGACCTCAGGTGATCCACCCGTCTGGGTCTCCCAAAGTGCTGGCATGAGCCACCGCGCCTGGCAGGTTCCTTTTCATCTAGAAAGAGGCCTTCAAGGGTTAGCTCTGGTTTAACAAAATGGATTCAGTGCTTCCTGTACCAGGCGCTGGTCTACGCTCTTTTTTGCTTTTTCTTTCCCTCCCTCCCTCCCTCCCTCCCTTCCTTCCTTCCTTCCTTCCTTCCTTCCTTCCTTCCCTCCCTCCCTCCCTCCTTCCTTCCTTCCTTTTTTCCTTCTCTTCTCTTCCCTTCTCTTCCTTTCTGTTTCTTTCCCATAATGCATTTATTTTGTCATACTTTTAGTGACACGGGAGCTTTCAGAATGCAGACTTGAAGATACACGGTGATCTATGTGAATGGTCTGGGCTCTGAGGAAACACCTTCAGACCCTCTCCTCATGGGCCTCACCATCTATGGGTGGAAACACAGTAAACAAACCCGCAGTCTCTTCTATAATTACACATTGAATAAGTGTGTCAAGAAACAAAATAATGGGGCATAATTCAGGTAGCAATACTGGGAAAGTGACATTTGAGCTGAACTAGAGAGCAGGGCACTATTGGCAGTTGGAGAAGTCTCCACGCTGAGGGAACAACATGAGAGAAGTCCCCAAAGCTGAGATGAGTGTGCTGCATGTAGGGCGAAGCAGCCAGGCTAGACGGGGAGGTCCGAGGTAAGAGCAGAGGAGAGCAGGCCGTGCAGAACTCCTTCGAATGTTTTTATAATAGGAGTTTAGATGGTTTTTTTCTCGGGATACTGGGAAGCCACTGAATATTTTTACAGGGAAGCACCATGTGATTTTCAAATAATTACTCTGACTTTGTGTGTAGAACAACTTGGGGAAGAGCAAGAAGATTTCTGTTGAGGTGGCTGAATTTTCCTCTTTATGGCAATTAGAGGCAATTTGAGATGAGGCAACACCCAGAACCTTGAGTTGAAGGGCAGTACATCAGAAGAGGCACAGATTATCCCTAATCCTCTCCAGAAATATATGAGCTTGTGTGTGGCCTTGGGCAAACGACTTTCAGGACTGAGAGAAGGAGTGGAGGGAGGGGGGAATGCATGGGATGTCTCACAAGCCACATAGGTCTGCCCAGGTGTCCCGCATATCCCAGTGCATTCCCTATAACCTGTCCCAGAGTGGTTTTCCTTTTTCTATCACAATCCCAATTTTCCCAGCTGAACCATTCTCCAGTCCTGGGCTGGGTTCTGCCATTTCCTTGCTAGAAGCCTCCAGCCTTCTTGCTTCCATTTTCTGGTTCCTGAGAGGCACTTGCCTGTAAGAAATCTGACTCTCTGAATCCATAGTTGAATCAGGGTTCAAGCAGTTCATAGCAAGTGAAAAATGTCCTGTCTGGCCACCCAGCAGTGATTGGAGAGGAGGCTGAGTTGATGGTCCTCCAGGCTGTACAGACCATGAGAGCAGGGATGTAGCAGGTCCTCAATAAGTTACTTGTTGTTTGGATGGTACCTTCATCATGATTTATCAATTCTAACGTGCCATCAACTGTAGGAAACACTGTCAATTCATCGACAACTTTGCAGGACATACAAAAGATAGACATGACATTAAATATACACACCAATTATAAGATACATTCTAACAGGAACACCAACATGTGAAAAAACAATGCATACATTTGAGAATCGAGAACTTGTGTAGTAACAATCATCTCTCTAAGAACCAGTTTGCAAACCAACTTGTGTGGCCCATTTAGCTGTGAAGGGCTTGTTGCTTTCTCATTCTCCTGTGAGTCTTGCTTTTCTGTAGACACATCCCCAGTCCTGTGGATTTCTGAAGCCCAGTTTTCCTCTCCTCCAGAAAGTAGCCACGGCCCCCATCAGCAGATGTGCATGGTTGAGCTCCCTAGGCCATCTCGCCACCGACTTTGTAAATGACCAGCTCCACAACATATTTTCTTTAGAGTTTACAGGAATAATGAAAGTGACATAGAACTGTGCAGCCAGATTCAAATGAAAGGACAAATGTAGTTGGCCAAAATGAACAATTATAGGAAACAAAGGGAAAATAACGATTAAAGATCTTTCATTACAGCCCGCTAATTATCATGAGTTCTGGACTTAACTGTTCAGGCATAGAATTAAAAACCTTAATTATATTGTCACCTTTGTCTCTCAGCTCCCATTGCCACAAATGAATCCATTTACTGTAAGTGCTGCTGATGAGCAGAAATTGATGGCAGTCCCAGCGAGGTGGGAGAGGGGGCCCAGGAGTGTGTGTGGGGGGGTATGCCAGGCAGTACTACCAGGCCCACACAGCTGGGTGGCATCTGCATTCCAGGACATTATAAATTAGAAACACTTTTAATGAGACAAATACAGGTTTAATGGATTTTATGATTTCTTCTCCCCTTCAAACCACTAACAATGCTCCTCCTCTTTCTTTCTTTCTATTAGAGCCAGTCTCTTGTTAAGTGATTGCATTAATGGTCTTTGTAGACAGGCTGAGTGTGGGAGGACAAGAGGGACTTCCCTTGTGAGGGCATTGGAAGGCTCTTCTCTCTGAAGGAAGACAATTCTCGGCTGTTGTTCCAAATGGGAGCATTTTAAAGCCCAGTGCGATGAGTGGAAATGCGAGATCACTTTGAGAGCTAGGGAAATTGGAAAAGAATGCAGCAGACTGGTTGGGGAGATAAAATCCTCAAAACTAGCCAGTTAGTTCTTTTGAGAGAGAGGCCAGCCAGTTCAGTGAGAGCCAGGCGTGGCTGTTGGAGAGATGGCCAGGTGGTCAATTTCTTGACTTCAGGGTGGGATGGGGTGCGGCTGGGAGTGAGGAGCCCTAGAATTATAATCAAGCATAGTATTGTGGTTCTGGACACAAACTCAGGAGCCAGACTGCCTGGTCTTGAGTCCATGCTCCGTCTCTTTCTGTGTGACTCTGGGCAATCTACCTGACCTGTCTGGGCTTCCGTTTCCTCATTTGTAAGGTGGAGCTATTGATAGTACGTACCTCATAGGGTTGATATGAGGATTAAAAGAGTTAATATGCATCAAGGATAGACAGTGCCTGGCATATTAGAAGAACTACATAAATGCTAACTATACCAAGTAAAAAACAGCCCTGAATTCAAATAGTCTTCCACCTAATGGCAATGTGACCCTGGATATGTTAACCTCTTCAGGCTTTCATTTCTTCTATAAAGTGAGGGGAGCCACCCCATATACTTTAGAGGTTTACACTGGGGAATCGTGAGAAAATACGAATGTACAACTGTTGTGTACAATTACTAGATAAACTCCAGGTCTGCCTTGCGCCTGCTTAGATTTCAGTGCCAGGCAGAGAAAGGGCGGGCAAGTGGTCATAGAGAAACTTAACCTAAAATAAGCTGAAAGCCCTGTGCTAACAAACACACTCAGTGGCCATGGGTATCTTGGGTGAGGGGTTGTTTCTGGAGGCAGGGGCTGTGCCGGATGCAGAGTAGGAGCTCAGGCAATGTGGCTGCCATCACTGTGAATGCATTGAGGTCTCTGCCCATCCCTGCGTAGCTGTGGATGGAGCGCAGTCCCACCCTGGTGTTGGTGGCGTGCCTATCTCCTATCTTTGGGAGAGTCGGGAGCCAGTGTTGCCATGGTGATATGGAGGAGTTAATGGGATGGAACTTGTCACAGAGCTGATGGTGGGATGGCAGCGGTGACTGCACTGTGTTAAGATGCTAGAAACAAAAGGGTGAGCACCTTGGCCACGCGAGATTGTGACCAAACCTAGCTCGTGGGGGTCTCAGGTTCTGCCTTCCAGAGAGCAGGAGGGAGTCTTGGCTGCTGAAGGTCTTTCCTCCCACTGTCTCTGCATCCATGGCCCCCAGTCCCACCCCTGATTCTTCAGAGAAGGGACCCGAGGAAGGACAAAGACAAAGACAGGAAAGAGATGTCAGGGAGCTGCCCTACAGGCTGGGCAGAGGGGGAAGGGGGCACCAATTAGAGATGGGAACCAAGGGGCAGGAGAGAAAACTGTGCCCCCACCCCTCTTGCCCCAGGCCTCAAGAGAAGACCCCAGACAACTGGGTCTCCTGGGTGACCAGGGGCTTCTGTGTCCCTTCTCCTATCACTTTTGTCTCTCCAAAAACCTTGAAAGTAACAAAAGCAAGGTTTATTATCCCCATTTTCCTGACAAGCAAGCTGAGACTCAGTAAGGTGGGAGCCCTCCCCAGGGTCAGTGACAGAGTTAGGATCAGCCTTCTACCTGTAGGTCCCATGTCATTTTTCCTAAAATCCCAAGACTGGCAGGACTTTGGGGTCGGGAGTGGGTAGAGCCTCCACTGCTCTCACTCCAGGCCTTCGGGTCTTTGTTCAGAAGCCCAGGCCCTTTCTTCAGCCTTGAACTCAGCTCTCTGTGTGCCAGAAGCCAACTGGGTGAGAGCAGTTGCTCCATCAGCCTGTCCAGCTCCTCCCCAAGAACTGGGCACTGCAGAACTGACAAGGGCTTGGTGGAGAAGAGCGGGTCTGAGTATCGGGGAGGGCCAGCCTGGCCCGCTTCCTTCCCCACCATGTGCCCCCTGTGTGACCTTGGATCAGCTTCCTACCTCTGAGCCTCAGCGTCCTCATCTGTAAAATGGGACAAACAGGACTTGCTTTTCCACCTCACAGGTTGGCTGTGGATGTTGAAACACCTAGTAAATTGGGTACAATGGCTGTGAAGAGGCACGAGCTGGGAGGCTGGTAGGTGTGGAGTTGGCCTGGTGCCACTGTTGCTCCTGAAACCCTCAGGAGAAAGCCTGAGTTCCCAGCCTGGCCCTGCCCTCCTGAGACACTTCCCGATGCAGCACAGCCCTCATCTTGCCCTCCACTTTACCATTTCCCAAATTCGCAAGACCAAAGACACATTTAGGTCTTTGCTCTGGTTGGTTCTCCCACCGTACCTCCCTTAGCCTGTCAGTGCTGACTTCTGCTAGAATGCTTCTCGGAGTGCAGAACCTGTGCCTCCTCTGTGACCCACTGTACGGCAGAATCATCTGCCAGGACCATTTCCCTATTTGCAGCCCCTCTCCTCCCTCAGACTAAGCATCTGAAGGACCTGGTCCAGTGAGTGTTTGCTGACAGCCCTATGAGTATGGGCTGCATGGCTGTCTTCACTGCACAGATGTGGAGACAGAGGCTCAAGTGAGGCAAGTGACTCACTGAGGTGCTCCTGTGGGCTAGACGCAGAAGTCTTCATCTCTGGCTACTGGTTCAGTGCAGTGCTGTCTCCCCTTATTCATCTGGGTCCCACACTTGAGGTCAGGTAAGTTGGTGAGAGCACACCTATATGAATCACAGTTCATTTAACTGCAGATAATAGAAGTAACTTTAGTTGTTTAAGGAAAAAAAGGGATTTAAGACAGGGGACTAGGCGCTTACAGAATCATAGAGGGGTGAGAGAAGCAGGGTCTCAGCTAGGTCTCCAAAAATGACACCCAGAACAACACTGGAGAATTGGCCGGCCAGAAGAGCCCCCGCCTCTGCCACAATCAGGGAAGTAGGGGAATCCAGAAGCAGTCACCAGCGAGATTCACAACAGTAAAACAATGATGCCCAGGGCGCTGCTTCTTGACCTACTGGGACTTCTGCAGATACCTCTGCACAAGCCGAAGGAGCAAAGCAGAGGCAGCGCGGCCCCTGCCTCACCTTAACATCCAAAAGCACTTACTCAAGTGCATCTGATTGGCTGGACCCAAACCACATTTTACCTGCCAGGGCATCTGAGAAATGTACTTTTGGGTCTTCTTGACTCTATGGTACAGGACAATCCACTGGAAGGAGGGTGGAAAGAATACTGAGTGCCAAGCCACCACATCTACCATGCAGCCATTAGGCTGATCCAGGCCAACAGTCCAGGGACCGAATCGGACCAGGAGGGTTGTTTACCCAGGGGAGAACCTGTGCTTGGCCAAAAGTTCCCGCAGTGCCACATTTTAAGAAAAGTAGCACTGCACTTCCTGAGACTACAGATAGATTTCTATCTGTAACTGGTGAGTGACCTTGGACAGCTCCCTGCATACACACATGGACACATTACATGCAACTTTCCGTGGGGCAAGCATGACAGACTGATGGGGAGGAGACTCTACAGCTTAATCTCTGCCTGAGTCTGTGTAATAGAATTGTTAAGGTCTCTGGGGTCGGGCCCTTGCCATCCGAATGGGTCACCGTTCTGTGAGCTTGCTTTATTCTGCTGCCATTTGCTGAAAGCCAGCAGCCAGGAGTGATTCAGAGCACGGGCATGGACCCACACCTGACTGTTAGCTGAGCATGAGCTCTTCCTGCTCCGCCAGAGCTACTTCAAAGCTGGACCTGGCTCCCGCCTTCTGGGCTGGGTTTCCCTGTGCCCTCTGCTTGACTACGATAAGGTTACACTCAGGGAGGTGAGGTGATGAATGTGTCCCCGCCATGGGGCCATAGGTGAAATCTTCTGCCACATAGGATCCATGTGACCATGGACAGCTGTTAACCCCTCTAAGCCTCAGTGCTCTCATCACTAAAGTTGCTTTCCTAACAGTGCCACCTCGAGGGTTAAAATGAGGATGAAAGGAGACACCATGCATGTCAAGTGCTCAGCACGGTGCCCAGCACTCAGTATGGGCTCAAAAACAACTGCTTTGCTGTCGTCATCGACTTTGCTTCAAGCCAGTATCCCTACTGACAAGTCACGACCAGGGTCTCACCATTCCTTTGCCTCTCCTTGTGAAGGTCACTGCAGGGGCTGCCCCGGAGCCCACTGAACCCAGTTGTATTAACCATTTGGTGGCTGACAAGGAGCTGATCTTGGGTCCTGAAGAAAGGAATGGGTGAGTGAGAAAACTGGGCCAGAGCTTCTTGGCCCTGGCTGTGCATTGAAAAAATACTGATGCCAGCTCCACTGGCAGAGATCAGATGCAACTGGTCCTGGCCAGTGCCTGGGCATCATGATCTGTCTATCATCTATCTGTCTGTCTGTCTATCTATCTGTCTGTCTGTCTGTCTGTCTATCTATCTATCTGTCTGCCTATCTATCAATCATCTGTCTAGCTACTTCCTGATGATGCTCATGGGTAACTTTGACGGAGACGCACTGAATCAGGTGCTCTGCTATGATTTGACTTGGTTAGGACAGAATAGTGATGGCCCTTACATCTTACCAGTGTATATTCTTAGTCCTCTGAATCCTTGCAGGGTCGGAATTAAGATCCCTTCCTTATGAATGAGGAAAGTGAAGCTTGTGGGGTTTGGGTGACCCCAATTCACCAGCCTGGAAGGGCAATAAGGAGAAAGAAGAGGGTCACTTTTGTGGCCTTGTTATGTGAAAATCCCCCAGAAGAATTACTATCAATAGAGAATCTTTCTCTAGGCCCCTGTAGCTTTGCAGAAGCTGAGGGTTTGGACTGTCTGGTGAGGGTCAGGTTGCTTGTTCTGTCTTCCTCTGATTCCAGCCAGACTTCATCTGCTGCTGGAGATGTGGAAGGGGCCCTACCATTCTTTGAGGCAGGCTTCAACTTGTCCACAGCCAGGTAAAGAGAAGCCTGGCAGGAAGAGGAAGGAATTCCTGCTTGGAACAAAATACGGGTCCTTCAAGGGGACCCATCTGTGTAGTGGCTTCTTTTTTATTATTATTATACTTTAAGTCCTGGGGTTCATGTGCAGAACGTGCAGTTTTGTTACATAGGTATACACATGCCATGGTGGTTTGCTGCACCCATCAACTGGTCACCCACATTAGGTATATCTCCTAATGCTATCCCTCCACTAGTCCCCCCACCCCCCACCAGGCCCCAGTATGTGATGTTCTCCACCCTATGTCCATATGTTCTCATTGTTCAACTCCCACTTATGAGTGAGAACATGCAGTGTTTGGTTTTCTGTTCTTATGATAGTTTGCTGAGAATGATGGTTTCCAGCTTCATCTATGTCCCTGTAAAGGACATGAACTCATCCTTTTTTATGGCTGCATAGTATTCCATGGTGTATATGTGCCACATTTTCTTTATCCAGTCGATTACTGATGGACATTTGGGTTGGTTCCAAGTCTTTGCTATTGTGAATAGTGCTGCAATAAACATACATGTGTATGTGTCTTTATAGTAGAATGATTTATAATCCTTTGGATATATATCCAGTAACGGGATTGCTGGGTCAAATGGTATTTCTAGTTCTACATCCTTGAGGAATCACCACACTGTCTTCCACAATGGTTGAACTAATTTACACTCCCACCAACAATTTAAAAGCATTCCTATTTCTCCATATCCTCTCCAGAATCTGTTGTTTCCTGACTTTTTAATCATCACCATTCTAACTGGCATGAGATGGTATCTTCTTGAACCCAACATGCCCTGAAAGCAGGTTGTCACAAGGGGTTGGCCGGAAGATCAGCTGCTCCATCTTCCCAGTGAGGTTTCACCTTTCACCCTATGCCTAGGGCACATTCATCATACTGAGTGCCTCAAACATTGAAAGAGATGGGATTATAGATGGCACCAGGAGAAAAATGGAGCTCCAGCTCCTGAGTAAAATGAATTTATCTATTCCCAGACCCAGGTCAGACAACGCTGGCTGGAGGAAGTCATTTATCTCTTTGAGAGATGATTCTAGAAATACAATCGTGGATGTGTCAATTCCATGCTTTCCGACTTAAGGGTGAGACAGGAAGAACGGAAGTGTCTTCTGCCTCTGGAAGACAGCGGGAGGCCCCATGGTGACCAACTGCGCTGCCTGACAGCGGGGTCCAGGCCTCGGGTTCTGATTACTACAGCCTTTTCTGAATTGGAGGCTGTGTTGTTCCTCTTCACTTCCTTTTGATTATCTCCGGGCAATTTTGAGAGAGCCAGGGATGAATTAAGCAGAGCTGGTGTGCACATTATTATGGCCTCTCTCTGGGCTTAAATGGCTCTCTTGAAAATAGGCCTTTTTATTTATCCTCTCATCTCCTCTCCTTAAATTGTAGCCCAGCCCTAAAGGTGTGGATTGATTGTGCATATCCTTTGCCTTGTAATGAGCCTGTTTATCACTTCTGTGGATCTGGAAACAGGAGAGGAGATGGGGCCACTGGGGACTGCCTGCTCCCACCAACCTCTCCTGCCCACTTAGACCAAAGGCAGCTCTGCCTTCAACCCTTTAATTTTTAAAGAAGCCACTTGCACTTCGCGTTAGGAACTGGTGGGTGCAAGGTGTATATGATGAGTAACTAGAGTTTTTGTTTATTTCCTTATGAGTAGATGGATCTTGGCCCAGGACAGCTGCTGTGAAAGGTCCCTTTAGACGAGAGAAGCCACACCCATTCACTTACTGGACCCAGGCTGGTGGTGGAGTCATAAAAGTGGCCCTGGACCCAGAAGAGGAGGCCATGCCCAGACGCACTACCATCAGCCAGGGGCGTTGAGATTCCGTCCCAGGACAATGATCATCAGCCTGACTTCCGATTCTGATTCAGGGAGTTAATGGCAAAGCTGAGACTGGAGGCTGGGCCACTGGACCTTTCTACAAGATCCTTCCAGTCTCTCCTTGATCTTGACTTTGTTAACATTTTAACTCTTTCATAACTGTTTGCAGAGGATCAGAAAGACAGAGCCCACACTGTGTGCCTGG
Source organism: Homo sapiens (assembly GCF_000001405.40). NCBI lineage: Eukaryota > Metazoa > Chordata > Mammalia > Primates > Hominidae > Homo > Homo sapiens. Next base: position 36,776,207 of record NC_000009.12, read on the forward strand.
GCTTGTGCCCCTTGCAGATACGGGTGGTCCTGCAGGCAACATGATCTTCTCAGGGCACTTTGAGTGGACTTCGGGTCAGAGGGAACAACGCTGGCTAACGGGGCTGTTACTCTGTACTGGGCCCTGGGCCAGATGCTTCATGTGCATTAACTCACTGGATCCTCACAACAGTATCCCCACTGTGCAGATGAAAACGCCGAGGCACAGAGAGGTTATGTAATTTGCCCATGGTCACACAGCTAGTGAGTGGTGAAGCCAGGATCAAACCCAGGCAGTCTGGCGCCTCAGCCTGAGCTCTTCCCATCACTCCAGAGAGCCTGTGCCAGGTCTTGGGAAACAGGCAGGGAATAGTCTGTTGATGTTTCCTGGGTGCCCTGCTGCCACTGCCCTGGCTCAGCCCACATCTCTCGCACCTGACCGCATTCCAGCCTCTCCACTGAGTACCATGGCTGTAGCGTAGCCCACCCAACCATCCGCTACTCCCGCCTGCAGGACCATGCCAACACAGAGAGCCTCCTGACACGACACTCCCGTTGTTCCTCCCCAGCCCTCTTTAATGGCTCCCAATTGTCTGATTTCTGGGTGTTCCCAACCCATCTAGTCTGATCTCCCACCACACCTTTCATGGATCCTGACAGCCAAACAAGGATTTACCAACTTGTTCATACAACACTTTTCCCACCTTCCAGCCTTTATCCAAGCTGTTCTTCCTGCCTGGAATGCCTGTTCTCACCCGCCCATGGCTCTTTCATGACTGCTTCCCAGGCCCTGTGCTTGGCAGGTGCTCACCAACGGGATACTATGTGTCCATGTTGCTTTGTTGCAGAGGAATTTTTATTTTTTCTCTTTCTGGATCCTAAAAAGAATACAAGTTCACATTAGAAAATCTGGAAAATTGAGACAATCTCTCAGAGAAAAATTAAAGATAGCCTGAAATCCTACATCCACTGTCAATATTTTGATATATATCTTTTCAATCTTTCTTTTCATTTTTAATATTGTGAAATATTTCAAACACAGACAGAATGGAGAATAATATAACATTCTCTGGTGCATCCACCTTTTCTTTTATCAACCCAGTAGTTTTTCTTTTCTTTTTTTTTTATTATTATACTTTAAGTTTTAGGGTACATGTGCACAATGTGTAGGTTAGTTACATATGTATACATGTGACATGCGGGTGTGCTGCACCCACTAACTCATCATCTAGCATTAGGTATATCTCCCAATGCTCTCCCTCCCTCCTCCCCCCACCCGACAACAGTCCCCAGAGTGTGATGTTCCCCTTCCTGTGTCCATGTGTTCTCATTGTTCAATTCCCACCTATGAGTGAGAATATGCGGTGTTTGGTTTTTTTGTTCTTGCAATAGTTTACTGAGAATGATGATTTCCAATTTCATCCATGTCCCTACAAAGGACATGAACTCATCATTTTTTATGGCTGCATAGTATTCCATGGTGTATATGTGCCACATTTTCTTTTTTTTTTTTTTTGAGACGGAGTCTCGCTCTGTCGCCCAGGCCGGGCTGCGGACTGCAGTGGCGCAATCTCGGCTCACTGCAAGCTCCGCTTCCCGGGTTCACGCCATTCTCCTGCCTCAGCCTCCCGAGTAGCTGGGACTACAGGTGCCCGCCACTGCGCCCGGCTAATTTTTTGTATTTTTAGTAGAGACGGGGTTTCACCTTGTTAGCCAGGATGGTCTCGATCTCCTGACCTCATGATCCACCCGCCTCGGCCTCCCAAAGTGCTGGGATTACAGGCGTGAGCCACCACGCCCGGCCATGTGCCACATTTTCTTAATCAACAACCCAGTAGTTTTTCTATGGATATTAGCAAATTTAGTTTGTTTGTTTTCCTTGAGACAGGGTCTTGCTCTGTCACCCAGGCTGGAGTGCAGTGGCTTGATCATGGCTCACTGCAGCCTCAATCTCTTGGGCCCAAGCAATCCTCCCACCTCAGCCTCTGGAGTACTACTACTCTAGGACTACAGATGTGCACCACCACGCCCAGCTGCAAATTTAGTTTTAAACATTTTGGGATAATGATCTACAAATTATCCACACTGTTTTGAAAGCTGATTGTCCCCTGGCCCCTTCCCCATATGATAAATCACAAATACTTTTCAATGACTAAAGAATATTCTCTGAAAAAATATACAGTAGGTTAGTCAGTTAACCAGTCCCTAATTTTGGACATTTATAATTATTATAAGCAATACTGCACATCCCTGACTATTTACTAAGAATATATTCAGAGAAGTAGAATTACGGGGTCGAATCATATAAACATTTTGATACATTCTGCTAAATTGGCTTTTCAAATAATTTTACTCATTTCCATTTCCATAAGCAGCATATGAGAATATCAATATTGATTCATCTTAGTGAGCACTGGGTATTATCACATTTGTAACATATCGTCTCTTATGAATGAATGAAGGAATGAATGACAAGAGCCTTTCCTGGGAGGGATAATGTCTCCTTGTGGTGCTGCTGTCACACTGCCACTCTCCTTGTGACCAGCTCAGATCCCCTGCCTGTGCGAATGTGTGTGTTGCTCAGGAGGGGAGGTGGGGAGGTGAGGATAGGGGGCTGACTTCCAGACTATTTCAGTGTGGCTTTTAGATCTCAGCCAATTCTGTGAAGTGACCGTGCAGCCAAACTAATCACCCTTCCTTGGGCCAGGTTAATGTGCTCCTCTCTTGCTGCTTGGATCAATACCGTACTTACTGCAGATTAGCTAAATGAGCCAGTGCAGCTGGGAATGAGCTTCTAGAGACAATTACTATGGAAAATGCAGCCATATTTTAGTGGGCACCACATGCATGAGGCTCTTTGCAAATATCAATATATATTTGCTTGCTTGACAGAAATAGATCAAACCTAAGTCCGGAGATTAATCCAGATGATCAGAGTGTACATGCTTCTTGTTGTGCATAGTGTGGCGGAACCTTGACCTTTTCCATGGTTGCTATTGTTCGGATTGTGCTGGAAGTAACCCAAAATGGGCTGGTGGTTGGCCCATGCGATTGTCTGCAAGTTTATTGCAGGTACAAATAGTAATGAGGCTGCTTATGGTGATAATCGTTTATCTCACTTGATCTTCACCACAACCTTGAAATGCTCACTAAATGTTTATTTAATAAATTCATTCATTCCCTTAACAAATAATGACTGAGTAGCCTTTATGTACAGGGCCTTGTTCTAGGTGCTGGAGAAACAGTAGTGAAGAAGACAGGGCCTTTTTCAGTGGAACTTGCAGCCTGGTGGGACAAGAGTGACAATAAACAAGGAAGCCATGCGCATGGAGAAGTAATCACGCATTGAGGCAAGTGCTGCAAAGGAAGACGGTGCCGTGTAAAGAAAATATATAGGGTGGTGGTGCTTAATTTCAATAGGGGGGTTGGAGAAGTCTTCTCCGAGGGGGTGACATTGAGGTTGAGATTTGATGGATGAGAAGGAGCGAGCTAGGACAAGAGAAGAAGAGAGACAGTGTTCTCAGTGGAGGGACCTTCTTGTGCAGAGGGCGTGAGCTGGAACCAGACCAGCAGTTCCAAGGAACGGAGAAGCTGCCGTGCAGGGCTGGAGTGTGATGAGCAAGGCAGGAACAGCACATCATCCGGTGAGAGAAGCAGACAGCGGCCAGGCCACACAGAGCCCTGCAGGGCACGGTAAGGACTTTGGATTTTATTTTAAGGGAGAAGGGAAGCAGTCAAAGGACTTTATACAGGGAAGGGATATGATCCAATTTACATTTTCAAAAGGTCACTCTAGGTCCTGGGTACGGAATGAGGAATATTCTATATCCATTTTGATAGCTAGTTCCAGAAAAATAACAATTATAAGTAGACAGGCTGGCAAGGTGGGGGGAGCCTTGGGTAGATCCTCCGAATGGCTCTTTGGGAGGTGAGGATCTGCCACGGCTGCGGGCTCTGGTTCTGAATGTTGTCTGATTTCACAACCCATCTCACAGTTTCTCTTTCCCGTAGGAGGGCTTGTCATTGGCAGATTCTTAGCCCAGTAAAAAGGAGAGGCAGGGGATGGAGAGGAGAGAGCTGGGGATCTTTGATGTCACCCCCACGATCCCAGCCCTGGCTGTCCTGGTGTGCTGGCTTTCATCCCAAAGAACAGCACGGAGCCCCCCCTCACTGCATGCGGGGGCCCCTCTGGCACAGTGGGGAGGTGCCCCGAAGACAGCTCCTCCTCACTCAGTCACTGGGGCGCTGGTGGCCAGGGCTCAGAGAGCAGGAGACCTGAAGATTGGGTGGCTGGTCGGCCTGGACATTTAGACTGTGCCTGGGTTCTTCCGATTGCTCCCCCACAGTCCTCCAGCCACAATCCATTTCCTGTCCTTGGGCTCAGTAACCTCCCCCTTGCTTTTCCCCCTGCAGTCTTCTTGGTTCTCACCCATACGTTCCTTACTCCTTCACACAAGCATCAGCTAAAAAAAGCCAGCAGCCTTTTGTGTACGTTTGAAAACTGGTGACCCTCCTAGGTAAAGAAGTTTGGGGTGTGGGGAATGAAAGGAGCATGATAGGAAAGATTCCCATTCCCTTCAGTCGTTGAAAAGTGTAACATTCAGGATGTGTTTAAATGTTCAAAGAGTCAGCACTAAACAACCAGGAATAGAATGTGTATCTTCCAAACTACTGGGGAAAGAGACCGGAGGAAGCATAACCCAACAGATGGCTGAGTGACTTCTAAGATAGAAGAGGCAGAGGGAGGAAAAGCAGGACAGAGAAGAAGTTGAATTCCCTTCCATAAACAGGTTGAACATTCTTCTCTGCCCGCAGGAAACCTGGGCTGTGTTCTTTCAGGTGGTGGGTGGAGGGGGAGGCATGGCCGGAATCCCCAGTGCCCGTGGGTGCCAGCCAATGACTTACACATCTGCTTTCCTCAGTTTTAAGTTCCCTGGGGGCAAGGCCAGACCTAGTTCATCTGTCTATGTCCCCAGAACAGGGAGGTTCCATTGCTGGAGAAGAATAAGAGCACATGTTGTTATTACCCAACACAAGCTCTGCCCATCTTTTCGGCTAATGCCATCTTATGAAAGGGGTGAATTCAGATCCTACTCTGAAGGCAAAGAAATGGGGCAAAGTGGACCATGAAGCTCAGAGACCCACATGAATGTGAACCACGGTTGAGACCAGCAGACAGAAAGCTCTGAGTGTCTGGGGATGGGAAGCTTTCTTATTCCACTGACTTCTCTCGCCATTTCTTCTCTTTGTCTTCCTCTGCTTCCTCCTCCCTCTTTTGACTTCAGCTGGCAGAGTTGCTTGAAATGAAGCCGTTCCCTGAAAAGCACACATGAATTTCCCCTGCGGAAAATTCAAACAGACACACTTGAGGATTTCCACTAAATTCTCTCTGGCCCCCAGAGCACTGGGGAAGCATGTGAGACCTGTGCCATCCCGGAACTGTGGCGACAATGGTAGTTAACGTCCATCATCTGCAGGCACCTTCAGGATGTGGAGCATGCAGAGATGACTCACGCCCACACCGGTGACCTCCAACACACCAGGGAAGGCAGGAAAAGGCTGTGTGCCAGGATCTTGTTCTGGGCTAGAAAAGTATGCCTGTTCGTTACCCGACCTTTGCTAAGTACACCAACTAATGGAGCGAGAGACATGAAAGATCTTCACAGGCCATGTGGAAATGTAATTCAAACCCAGCCCGAGGAGGTCATAGTACGTGAGTTTAATTTTCATCCTGCCTTTCCTTACAATGCTAACCTTTGCCTTACAAAAAAAGTTGTTTAAAAAGAGATAAGTCAGTGTCTATTTGGCATTTGAAGGAGTTTTAATCTGAGCAACCCTGTTGGAAGTGTTTCCATTTCCTTAGGATTCAGTTCAGGAAACCGTGAATTGATCCTTTACATCAGAAGTAATTGTTCTGGGTTTGAAATCTATCAAGTATTGGAAATTCAAATTAAGCCATTTGTGAAGTTCTGTTTAATGAGGGTTATCAAGTCGCTTCTTAATGGCATCTGTCGGACTCCTAGCCCCCTCTGCTATTCATACAGGCCCAAGGCCTCCCATTATATGCCCCATGATGCAGCCGGATGGGCCCCCTCTTTGATCTGGGCATCTCTGCCCTCATACGTGGTGGGCAGTCCCACCCTCCCCCACTGCTCTGGGAGCTGTTCCGTCCCAGCTCCTCCATGTCTTATCTTTCTCTTCCACTTTCTGTTTTCTCTCCTGTCCTCTCTTCCCATCATCCCATTGCTTCTGTTTTCTGTCTTCCTTCCCAGCCTCCTGCCTCTTCCTTCTTTGTCACGCATTCACCCTGTCTCTCATCAACACTAAGGCCAGCACGTGTCACCAAACTGCCTCCCATCAGAGGCCTCTGACATTCTCCAAGTCCTCCTTCAACATGTTGCATTCTGACAGTATGAGATCCTGAATTATAAACATTTACCACCCACTATTTATTAATCGCACTTTTATCTTTTGGCCTGAAACTTTGTCTCTCACCTGCTACCAGCTGCCTCCAGAGCATGGGGGTTGGGAGCTGATGGCAAGTTCCCTGTGTCTTTTCTGCAGCCCTCTGGGTTTTACATAATGTGATTTTGTGTTCTCGCACAAAATCATGGTGCTCCAGACTGAAAAATTCTACTCATCAGGAAATCTCCCTCCCCTTAGAGCGCTAGAACTGTCTTTTTGTGGGACTTGGTCAGCCCTGAGATTTCTTACAGGAGATAAAGGGCCGAATTGGAGAGATGCTTGGAGAGAAATGGTTGACAGGGCCTGGAGAGCATGTCGTGGAGGAAGACATTGACAAGGTCTCCTCCTCGTCCTCTTTCCTCCTTCCATCTCTCCCAGTCAACCCCCAAGCCTTGGTTGATGCCCAGTTCCCTAAGGTCACTCATGAACTTCTCATGTGTTTGTTGTCATTCCTCTTTCCTTTAATTCTCTCTGCTTCAAACTTGGGAGAAAGATTTTCTCTGATGAATTTTTCAAGAAACTCCCTTCAGGCTCCCTGCTGCCCTTTCCAGCCATTCTCTGCTTTTGGATCCCTGAGGACCATCCAGAGAGCCCGTGTGTCATTTTTAAGAAACTCTGTTACAAGGCAAGAAATAAAGGACATCCTCAAATGGTAGTGCACCCAGGGGAGGTGTGGAGAGGGTGGAATGACGAAGCGCCCGAGACATATGCTGTACGGCAAGGTCCACAGAGCTGGGATGCCCATGGGGTGGGGTGGGGTGGTTAGAGACGGAAAACCAAATCAAAAGAATTTAAGCAATAACCTGGCGGGGCACGGTGGCTCACACCTGTAATCCCAGCACTTTGGGAGGCCAAGGTGGGTGGATCACTTGAGGTCAGGAGTTTGAGACCCACCTGTGCAACACAGTGAGACCCAATCTGTACAAAAAATACAAAAATTAGCCAGGTGTGATGGTGGGTGCCTGTGGTCCCAGCTACTTGGGAGGCCGAGGCTGGAGGATCACTTGAGTCTGGGAAGTGGAGGATGCAGGGCCATGGTCACGCCACTGCACTCTAGCCTGAGTGAAAGAATGATAGCCTGTCTCAAAAAAATAAAAAACCAAAACCAAAATAAAACCCCTGAACCCCCAAAATGGAAGGAAAAATGAATATCTATTGACTCCATCGCTGACATTGCACCTGTGGGTTCTAGGGCTTTACCAGCACCATCAGGACACCCCAGTCTCTTGAGAGACAATATTTTCTAGTAGTCATCACTGCCTGGACTTGGAGCCTGGCCCCACCTCTTATGAACTCTGTGACCTTGGGCAAGTGACTTCACATCTTTGTGCCTCAGTTTCCTCACTTAGAAAACGAGGATAAAAGTAGCACTACCTTCTAGGGCTACTGTGACTATTAGGTGAGTGACTATTTGTAACGTTCTTAGATCAGTGTGATGCACACAGTAGGTACAAAGTGAGTGTAAGCAACTGGATGTGTTTCCTAGGCCTCCATAACAAAGTGCCATGAACTAGGGGCTTAGAACAACAGAATGTATTGTCTCATACAGTTCTGGAGCTGGAAGTCTGAAATCAAGGTGCTGGCAGGGCCACGCTCCCTCTGGAATCTGTAGAGATCCATGCTTGCCTCCTCCTGGCTTCTGGTGGTTTGCCGGAATTCTTTGGCATGCTTGACGTACAGGTGCAGCATGCAATCCTCTGTCTTTACATGGTATTTTCCTTGTGTCTCCACCCAATCTTCCTGTGTCTGTCTCTGTGTCCAAGTTTCTCTGTTTTATAAGGAAGGCAGTCATATTGGATTAGGGATTATTCTAATGACCTCATTTTAACTTGATTATGTCTATAAAGACCCAATTTCCAGGTACTGAGGATTGGGACCTCAGCATCTCTTCCTCTCTTTCTCTTTTTCTTTGTCCTCTTTCTTTACTTTTCTCTTCGTTGGCTTCATTTAATAGCAGATTTGCCCTAGGCTTTGGTAAAGACGTTCATTGCAGTTCTGGGCTTATTATAGTCTACCATCTTAGCAGCCTACCGTTTTTTCTAATAGTTTCAGTGAAAGCCCCCGACTGTCTTTTGTTGGCTCAGCTTGGATCATGTGTCCACTCTGGAGCCTGTCCCTGTGTCCATGGTGCTCCCATTGGCCAACCCTGGAGCAGGTACTGGGGTCAGTCCCACTCAAGTCATGTTGATTGTGAATGGAGTTGAGGAGGTTGCCTGGAATGAAAACTCAGGTCTTGCTTCCTGGAGAAAGGATTGCTGGCAGGCAATAGAAATAGATGAGCCCCGAAGCCTTGAAAACACGGTCACGAGTCCTGCAGGGTTGTCTTCAATTCTGTTAATGCAGTCATCTGAAATGGGATTGAATTTATTGGGGGAGATATTCAGAGAGCTAGAGAAGACCAAGGGGAAGAAGGACAACAGGCAGATTTGAGCTCAGTGTGAGGAGATACTTCTTAGGCACAGAGCAGCCAACAAAGAGAGGGCTTGTGCCTTGGGAGGTGGTCCACATCCTCTTCCTGGAGGCAGGCAAGAGTGGCCATGTAGTTTACTGAGAATGTTGTAAAGGCAATTCACACAGTGGAAAAGGAGTGGACTAAATCAATGGCTTTCAAATATTTATTACCGTGACCCACAGACATGGATTTATATTGTAAACCAACACACACACACACACACACACACACACACACAACTGAAACAAAAGTTTCGCAAAGCAATTTTACCTTTACTATAAGTGATGTACTCTGACATAGTCCTTTCTCTTCTATTTCATTTTAAAAACACTCACAGCTCAGTAAATTGATTTCCCAGCCTGGTGTTCAGAAACCTGGACTAGATGACCTCTGAGGTCCCTGCAGCTCAGTGACTCTGGGGGTCTATGACAGGTACCAGTGGGCCAAAAAGGAGGAAATGTGGTTTGGTATCACCAAATATCACCTGCACAGTTGGTGATGACACTGGACTGGAGCCAGCTCTCTGGACCCTGCAGCCCAACTTCTGATGTTCCTTCTCTGCCATCTTCGATGACTGCCCTGTCTGCCTGTAAACTAGAGTATTTGTAACCATATCAGTCCTTTGCATGGATACGTTTATGGGTTCCCCATTTGTCTGATAAAGATAAAAGGTTTGATGTCTTCATCTGCTGTCCTCACTAACCATCCCAGGAGTCCCTCCCAGTGTTTTCCAAAGCTCTGTGCCCTTTGAGCTGTCCTCCCGCAACACACTTAAATCCACACCTTTGATCCTATCCTTCCCTTGGCTTGAGTGTCCTCCCTCCATGTCCCCCTCTCTAAATTCTCCCTGTCCTCCCATGTTCTCTTTTAGGAAGGCTCCCATGGTTCATTTCCCAGGTGGCAGGATCTTCTTCTCCTCTGAGTCCTTTCAGCCTCGTACTGTTCCTGTTCTTCCTGGACCATGAAACCATTAACAGAGAGACTTGGGGGTTTGTGTGTGTGTGTGTGTGTGTGTGTGTGTGTGTGTGTGTGTGAGTTTCCCGCAATACCTGCCTGGTATGTCCACAGAGGATGCTCAGTACCTGCTTGAAGAATGGAGAGATGGATCGATGGGTGGGTGGATAACTGAAAGGATGGATTTCACAACATTGAATCTAATTCATTTATTCGACATATATCTAATGAGCACCTATTATGTGTCACACACTATTCTAGTTATTGGGGACACCACATTGAACAAAAGACAAAGATTCCTGCCCTCATGGAGCTTACACTCTACTAGGGGAGACAATGAACAAAGCACAGTATATGCATCTGATGGTGATGGCTAAGAAGAAAACTAAATAGGGAAGGGGATAGAAGTGTTAGGGCTATTGCAGTTGTAGATGGGATGGCCAAGGAAGGCCTCCCTGAGAAGTTGATACCTGAGTAAAGACATGAAAGAGATGAGGAGTGAGCCATGTGAAGACATGTGGGGAGAGCTCCCAGGCAGAGGGGGAACACAGGCAAAGGCCCTGAGGCGCAGCATGCCTGTCACGCTAAGGAACAGCAAGGAGGCCAGTGTGGCTGGAGCAGGAAGTAGACTCTGAGATGAAGATTAGTGGGCAGAAGGTTTATTAGGGAGTTCTTTTGGGATCAACACCTAAGGAAGGGAAAGGAAGGAAAGGGAAGGGGCAAAGGAAAGAAAAAGGAAAGGAGAAGGAAGGAAAACAGACAAGGCAGAGGAGGAAGCTGAGCTGTGATGCAGTCTCAAGGGAGGCCTCAGCCAACCCTGCATGGAGGTCTGAAGACAGGCTCACTTTCTACAGGCATCCTAAGTTGGGGTGAGATGGCCAGGTCTTATACTCCTGTGTTAATCAGGCACTGGGTGCAGGCTGCCTGGAAGAGGGGGCGTGACTTTTAGTTGAGGCAGTGCCTGAGGAGATGATGGCTGTGGGCTGGTGGTTGGTGCCACTCCCAACATCTGGGGGGATAAATTCTATATCCATGAAGAGGAGTCTAAGGGGTATGTCATGGCATCCAGCATAGCCTTGTAGACCAATATGAGGGCCCTGTTGCTACACTGAGTGACATGGGAAGACACTGGGGGTCTTGAGAAGAGTGGCATAACTGGACTGATACTTTCACAGGCTCACCCAGGCTGCTGTGAGCCAGTGGCACACGATGCAGATGAGAGAGGGTGGGGGCTGGACCAGGGTGGAGGCAGGGGAGGTGTGAGAAGAGGTCAGACTTTGGACTTACCTTGAAAAACGCAGAGCTGATGGGACTTGCTGACAGATCTGATGTGGGGTTTGGTTGAAATAAAGGAAGTAAGAATGATTCTGAGGATTTTAGTGGGAGCAACTCAAAGGACAGAATTGTGGTTAGCTGGGATGAGGAAGCCTAGGTGTAGAGGAGGTTGGGGAGAAGATCAGGTGCTAAGTTTGGGATGCCCATTAGCCATTCAAGGAGGCATGGCCCATTGACTTGGACACTTGGAGTGCAGGGCAGAAGTACGAGCTGGATGCACTGGTTTAGGAGTAGTTAGCATCTAGATTCTCCATTGGTGGAGGGTGTGTGTGTGTGTGTGCACTTGCGCTCACATGTGGGAAGGATATGGGGCAATGGTTGGGATAACCTGTGTGTGGCTGACTCATACATGGGGCTGCCCTTTCCTGGGCTGTTCTAGGCCTGGATCTGTGGTCTCTCTAGGGAGTCTTAGGCCAGACTCTGAAGGAACATTGTAGGGGCTGCCCACACCCCCCGAGAGCTGAAGTGGTCTGAACTCTGATGGGCCCCTGTCCTTGAATTGTGGGACTGAGTGTGGGGTTTGACATCAGGGCAGGGGTTGAGCAGATGCCTCTAAGGTCCTTCCCCACTGTGACTCAGGGACTTTCTGTGGCTCTTCTCCCCGAGGGCTTTTCTCTCATCGCTGCTCTCCCTTCACACTGCCTTTGTCCCCTCTTGTGCCACTCTGGAGTTTGTTCCACTTGGGAGCCACTTCCCCCTGGAGAGGTTGCTGGCATTTCCCTCACTTTATTCTCAGTCTCCTCAAACTTCCCAAAGATATTAGTAGTGTGCAACCTGAAAAGGAGAGGGGCATTGACAAAATGAATTCTGACAGAGATAATTGCATGAATCCTTTGTAGCTCAGCCCTGAACATGGCTCCACACTGTCAGTTTTTATTTTATTCAAATGCTGGAGTCAAACGTCCCCCTGCAGGTGAGGGAGTGGTGGGAGATGAGGAGAAGGGGAATGAACGGGGCTACAGGCCAAAGGCAAGATCTAAGCCCTGTTGTGCAAGCCTCCTGGGGTCTGGGCTGCAGTGCCATGTCTCTGGGCTTTCTCTGGTCTGGGGATCTAGACAGTCTCTAGGATGGATAGACAGATGTGTGAAGGGCTTAAGAGAATACCACTTTGGCACTGCCTGCAAGGCTGGGAATCACAGCCTTAATGAACATTGAGTTTCTTGATGAAGCAGGCACAGTCTTGTCCCTCCTGGGTGAGAAGAGGGAGCCCCTGGCAGGAGGGGGTCACAGTGACCTTGCAGAATTGCATTGCAGCTGACTCTCCTCAGGGTTCCCTGCCATCATAGCTGACAGGGAACTACAGTGGGCCACCACTGCCCTCCAGGCGTGCTCTCACTCAAATTTCCCAGCGGCTGTTCGTGGGACTGCACCCCAACCCTCAGGCTTGTCGTCTTTTTTTGGGTCAGGAACCAAGTGCTCCCAGGGTGCTTGATGGGGATGTCTCCATGGATGGGCCATGTGGCTGAGCGTTTGCCCAGCCCCTTTGCTAAAATGACCTTTCTCAATGTCCCAATTTCTACTCTGTGAAATCCAAGTCATCCATCAGCACCTTACTCTGGACCTCCCTCAGGATCCTTCTTAACACAGGCTGTAAGTAACTGCCACCAAACAATGACCACTGGCAATTGAGAGGAAACCTATTTATCATCCCTGATCCAGAAGACAGAACCAAAATTTAATCAATATTTAGTGTTTTTGTGCTGTTGGTTTAGTTTACATGTAAGCTATGCCATAGGTATCAGAAGTTAATCTGGTCCTTATTATGATGGTTTTTTATATTTGGTGATGAATATTTGATAATTGTGTGTATTTTTTTTTTTTTAGGTAGAGTTTTGTTCTTGTTGCCCAGGCAGAAGTGTAATGGTGCAATCTCGGCCCACCGCAACCTCTGCCTCCCAAGTTCAAGCAATTCTCTTGCCTCAGCCTCCCGAGTAGCTGGGATTACAGGCATGCCCCACCATGCCCAGCTAATTTTGTATTTTTAGTAGAGACAGGGTTTCTCCATATTGGTCAGGCTAGTCTCGAACTCCTGACCTTAGGTGTTCTGCCCGCCTCGGCCTCCCAAAGTGCTGGGATTACAGGCGTGAGCCACTGTGCCCAGCCATGTGTAATGTTCTTAATTAGAAAAGCATGAGCTTAAGGAGCTGGCCAAGAACCCATCCTTTTGGAGGTCATGTTGAACTGCCCCTTAGCTGTTTAATGACATGAGAAAGTGCATAGGGACAAATGCTTGCATTCCCTACATTAAAGGTCCAAAAAGCCACAAACAGTGCTTATGTCCCATCAATCATTTCAGTGAGCAGATCTGTCAAACTAGGGGAACCCACCAGTTTCACTAGTGAAGAACTGGGGCTTCTTCTTAATTCTTTATCTGGAATGCCTCCCTTGGCCATCATTACATGGAATAACATCTCACAGAGCTAGGCTGGGAGGTGGGAGATGTTTATGTCAACGGAGAGCGTCTGAGATGACTTCTCAGAGAAGTGAGATTAGCTGTATCAGGAATGCAGAAAGTCAAGGTGCATCTCTCAGTGACTTCCCTCAGCCTCAGTGTCCTCCTTTACAAAAACAGGAAGTTGCGCCCAGTCATACTCCAGAGCATTCTGGAGACTTGGTTTTGATGCCATGGCTTTGTGTGAACACCTATGAGGCTACATTCGTCAAAACCATATGGTCTAAACATCAGGCAATCCAGCCAAACTGGTTAGGTGAGCAGAAGCCAGCTTCTGTCCCCAAGGACCTCACATGCTAGTAAGGGACAGGACCAGATGCACAGAACTGTCACACAAGGCAGAAAGTAGGAATGGCCAAATGGAGGTGCCGAGACTATCCCCTGGGAGTTGGGAGACAGCAAGCCTTGCTCTGGCTGGGGTGTGTGTGCATGTGTGTGTAGATCTGGGAAGGTCTTAAGGAAGCAGCGGTGCTGAGCAGAGCCCTGGAGCCAGGCTAAGATTTGGAAATGGAAGGGGAAGGGTACCCCTCTGTCCTTTACTTAGGCCTGGCACACGAGAGGTACCCCAAAATGCTTGCTAACCCACCCTTGAGTCTTTCTCTACACATCTAGTTTCCTCCTTTGGGGACCTCAGGCCATGATCAAACAGAGTTTAAAAAAATTAACCTGGCCGGTCGTGGTGCCTCATGCCTGTAATCCCAGCACTTTGGAAGGTCGAGGCAGGTAGATCTCTTGAGGTCAGTAGTTCAAGTCCAGCCTGGCCAACATGGCAAAACCTTATCTCTACTAAAAATACAAAAATTAGCCAGGCATGGTGGCAGGTGCCTGTGATCCTAGCTATTCGGGAGGCTGAGCCAAGAGAATTGTTTGAACCTGGGAGGTGGAGGTTGCAGTGAGCCCAGATCACGCCACTGCACTCCAGTCTGGGCAACAGAGTTAGACTCCATCTCAAAACAAAAAATAACAACAAAAACAAAAATTAACCCTGGAAGCAGAAAGGCAAAGACAAGCAAAATCCATTCATTTTATCATAGCTCTGTTTTGAGACTCTGAGAGCCTGGGCGGGAATCATTTCAAGGCAAGAAGCCCACTGGGAGCTCAGGTTTAAAAAAAGGGGGAGGAGCTATGAAGGCACTGGGGGCTCCTGTGGCACCCAGTCACCAAAGGTACAGATGGGCCTCTCAGGAACTGGACCTTGGCCATCTCCCCTTTCCACATTGCCACTATCCATTACTGGATGCCTGGTTTCTCATTTTGCTTCTGTCTGAGCTCCCATTTCATTCTACTGCTCTCAGATCTGGCTTTGCTGCTTATCATCTGCTTGCACAAGGCCTATCAAGGCCTCCACAAAATGGTAGCTTCAGCCCTCAAACTTCCAAGGCCTTCCTATGCCATTCCCTGTGGCTCATTGGCCAGTGTCGGAGTGCCCTGATTCCAGATTTTCAGAGGAGACAGTCTGATGGGGTCAGCTTAGGCAGATTCTGCCTCTGACCCAATCAGCTGGGAGCAGGGGTGTGTCAGGCCCCCACACACTGTAAAGCGATCCCCTTCCAAGCTGTTTTTCCAAGAAAGGGCGGAGCGAAAATGATCTGCTTCTCCAGGAGGAAGGGCGTCTGACTCCTGGGCTGTCACATATAGTGTGGACACCCACGCTATCTGCCTTGAAGTACTTGATTACACAGAGGAAGGGCACAGCAGCCTAGGCCTATTCCTGCCGTTGTCAATGGGATTAACATTAACACACCATGAACAGCTGAATAAATGCAGGAACACTTGTCTTTGTCTAACAAAGTCTACCTGGCACCTTTTCTCTCTAGTGCTAATCAGGCAATCTTAAAAGCATATTTTGTGTCTGTATTGGAAGAAGGAATGACAGTAGGCATTGCTCACTGCCCCCTCCCTGGCCTCCAGGCCAAGCCTTTAGTCATCATCATCAGCTGCCACAGGTTCCTGGGCTTAGAGCACTGAGCTCTAGGTGCTGACTGCCCCAACGGAGACATGGCCAGTGTTTGGACCTCAGAGTGCGTGTTCCTATAGAAATAGATGTGAAATGGTCAGTTGGTTCCCACACCAGCCCACAAAGGCTATGTAACCAATACTTTGTGGACCCTAATGGCCATGTAATATAAGCTTCTTTACATTCATGAGATGAAAAACAACTCTAGAAGCAAAACTTTTCTTAGAGCTAAAAGGGGACTCAGTAATCCCCTGCAATCATCCCTTTGATGGCAGTTCCAGGAGAGTAAGGAATGTATACAAAATCACACAGCTATTCAGTGGCTGGATTACAACTGAACTAACATAGTAGCTACATTACCAGTGAGGAAACAAAATTCTAAGTCTACAAAGCTGTATAAGAAATAGGCTGTTGGCTAGGCATGGGTGGCTCACACCTGTAATCCCAACACTTTGGGAGGCCGAGGCAGGAGGATCGCTTGAGCTCAGGAGTTTGAGAACAGCCTGGGCAACATAGCCATATCTACTAAAAATAAAAATGAAATTAGGCATGGTGGTGCATGCCTGTAGTCTAAGCTACTCAGGAGGCTGAGGTGGGAAAATCACTTGAGCCTGGTAGATTGAGGCAGCAATGAGCTGTGATTGCACCTCTACACTCCAGCCTGGGCAACAGAGCAAGACTCTGTCTCAAAAAAGAAAGAAGGAAAGAAGGAAGGAAGGAAGGAACGAACAAAGGAACAAAGGGGAAGGAAGGAACGAAGGAATGAAGGAATGAAGGGAGGGAGGGAGGAAGAGTTTGTTGTTGTTTATCTTGAATATTGATGCTCTAGAAAAAGCAGGTTGAATTAGATGAGAGGTGATAGTCAGACACCTTTATGAAGTTCCAAGGGCTTCCAAATACTTTCAAAAGGGGTTAGCGGTTATAATGCATGAAAACTCTCTCTCTCTCTCTCTCCACACACACACACACACACACACACACACACACACATACACACACACACACACACACACACACAGGCATGTATGTATCTGTATTGAACATATATATAGAGATAAGGAAATAACTGGTTCTTTATTATGTGTTTTCCTTTTAGAAGCTGAAAATTGCATTTCTCTCTTATTTAGAGGAATGTAGAGCAGTGTTGTCCAATAGAACTCCCTGAAATGATAACACTGTTTTATATCTGCACTGTGTCACCACTAACTACATGTGGCTATTCAGCATTTGAAATACGGGTAATACAACAGAGGAACTGAATTTTTAATTTTATTTAATTTTAGTGAATTTATCTAAATGTTAGGGAATTGAAATTTAAATGTAAATAGCCACTTGTGGACTTGTGAACAGTGCAGCATAGCGTTACTAGTACGCTTATCAGCCCAAACAGACTTCAGCCTCTCAGGTGTAACAAAATGGGGTAGGGTGGGAGGAGGAAAAATAACAGAGACAAAGGAGGAAGTTTATTGGAAGGTAGCTGGACACAAGCTAGAGAGGTTGTGTGTCTATGAATGAAGTGCCACTTGGGGAGCATACACTGAGTTGTGAACAGTAAGAGGCAAGGAGAAGGGGTACTTGGTATATTCAGTATTCTTCTATGGGATTAAATAAGGACAGAGGTGGTGAAGAAACAATGGTAGGACAGTTCCACAACTTGGCCACCAGGGGCCCCCATTGACCCAGAGCAGCTTGGTTTCCGAGGGGAGAGAGGCCAGGTGTCTGTGGCAGGGATGGGGAGGATGAGACACAGAAAAGCAGCAGACTTTGAGTGGGTCCAAGAGGAGGGGGATATTGACTCATTATGTTGTGCTAAGCACCGCTTTAAGCACTTTACAAATAACACCCTAAGAGGTAACTATTTTATCATCCTTATTTTACAGATGGGGCAACTAAGGGTATATTTGGACAGATGACTTGGCTAAAGCCACAGAACTGTTAAGTTCCGAGTTGGGAAATAATCTAAACAGCCAGGCTGCAGAGTCTGGGTTAACTGTTGTGCTCTGCTGCTCCCAGGAAGAGCCTGCCCCTACATGGTTCTGGAGCCCTGTCTAGAATGTGGACATGTACCGCCACTCAGCTGGGGTATCTCCACTTGCCTCCCAGTATGAGGCTGTTGGGAAGATTTGTGTGAAATATTGTATCCTTTTGACTTTTTTTTTTCCTACAGCCACTTTTCATTCATTTATCCATTCAGGTGTTCAGCAAGTAAACATGGAGCCTGCTGAAGCTGGGAATGCAAAGTGTGCAAGAAGCCTGCCTATGGGAACCTACGGCTCAGCAGGGAGACATGAAATAGCTGGGAACGCCCCCTGCACAGTGTAAAGGGCGTGCTACCTTGGGAAGGGGACAGAAACAGAGGAGAGGGGGGATCCTGGCCAGCAGGGGTGTCACAGAAGGCTTTTTAAAGGAGGGGGCCTTGGAGCTGAACTTTGAGGCCAGTGGCATTCGAACACATCCACGGGTCTCCCTTTCGGATTTCAGTGCCCTCTTGGCCTTGGGCTGATGAGCTAAGTTGCTACTGGAGAATGACCTTTCACAGGAAATTCAGAACCCCAGTCATCAATGTTTGACTACCCTGTCACCAAGTCCCTCCATTGCCCTGGCTTGATGTGGCTGCGAGAAGTCACCTGTTCAGGCCCCTCCTGCCTCCTCCACACACTGACCTCCCTCAGACTCAGAACAGCCGATGCTGCCCTCTGAGGCCTGCCCCTTTGCACAGGCTTTGCCCACATCTGGGCTCCTGGATTCCTCAGAAGCCGGCTCCTGGGGCCTGTCCAGCAAGGCTTGGAAGCCCGGGTCCCCAAAGACCTGCTAGTTAATGAGTTCTGCAAAAACTAGGTCTGTCTGTAATCGAAATGGGAGTACAAGGCTCACACGGTCCCTGAATTAATTCAGTCCTGTTAGAAAGGGAGCAAGGCAGAGTTTCTGCTGCTGTCTGCAGGACCCATGGAGGGGTTCTATGCACCATTACTTCCATTTGGGGACCCATTGTTTTCCATCACTTCAGCACAATCTGGAAAACATTCTCCAAGTCTATTATTCCTGTCTCCTGCTGCCACACTGAGGCAGTTGTTAACAATGCCCTCTGCCCACCCCGGACCCCTCCTCCATTTAAATACCAGTCTGATGGGCAAAGAGAGCATTTAATGACTGCTCCAGACTAAAAAGTTCCTATTATTTTATTCCCTTCTTACTCCTGCCCAATTTCCTTCCAGATGGGGCAGGTGGGTATAAAATATATGGAGCTGGAATTACAATAGCAAGAAGACAGGTGGGGAAATTGAATGTGGTTGGAAAATTTGTCCGTATGCCTACAGGTGTGTCTTATGAGATCTTGCAGGCTACCACCACCCCCGCTACCCCAGCCTGGCCATTCTCCAAATGGTCTGGGAATGGGGAATATGAGTGGCCAAGACTTCCCCTCCTGTTGGAGTGGTCTGAGTATCCAGGCAGAAGGAAAGGAGATATTTAGCAAGGGGGCGCTTAGAATGGCAGCCTTGAAGAGGTGCAGGCAGTGCTGACTTGACACTACCTTCACCATCAGGTGTTGGGCCCCCAGTACGATACCACAGAGTCTTTATGCCTTCCTTCTGGATTCTCTTCTTTCCTCTCCTTACTCAGATGCCACCTCCATTGGGAAGTCTTCCTTGATTACCCCAGAGTTAGTTTCTCCGTCCTTTCTGCTCCTCTCTCTGCATCCCTATTAAATGTGTTATTGGTCTATGATGTTCTGCATTACAACCTGTGTTTGATGGCTGGTGACTTCCTGTACAGAGGAGATTTAGGGACATGCATGCTTGAGAAAGACTCCTGTTCTCCACTTGCTTGCTGTGTGACTGTACAAATTTCTATTATCTCTGTAACTCCATCTGCAACATGAGGACAAAAAAATCTACGTCACAAGGCTGCTGTAAGGAGTAAGATCCAGCTTCCTTCTCTCCACCTCAGCCATTTACAGTCACTACTATTGGGAAACTAGGGCTCTGGAGTCAGATCAGCCTGGGTTTGAATCCTGGCTCCACCACTTTCCAGCTGTCTTTGGCCCTGTTACAATCCTTCTGTGCCTCAGTTTTTCATCTGTAAAATGGTGGTAACTCCTATCCCATATCTCATACACTTCTTGGGAGAATAAACTAGGGTAATGCACGTAGATTGCTCAGCATAGGCCTGGCAACATTCTGAAAGTTAGCTATCATTATTGGTAGTGTTGTCACTAAAACTGTGAGTTGGTGGAGTCCGAAATCTCAGCCTAGTATAGTGCCCAGAGCCCAGTGAGTACTGAGTATATAAAAAGGAAAATGTTTCATTGTAAACTGGGAACCATGATCCAAATGTAATGCTCAGAAATGTCACCCCTTGTCAATTATGAATGATTAGGACATGATGCAGGTGACTTGAGCCTGCATCAGAGACCATGGGCTTGGGAGATGCCCAGGGGTGCCTGCCCCTTTGGCTGTCACAGTCTCCAGTTCTTCCAGACTATGCCAGGTGCAGGTGAGCTGGAGGTAACAGACACTCACCCACTGATAGCCAGAAGTCTAACCCAGGAGGAAAGAAAACCCAGGGCTGCCAGTTCACACACAGTTGGGAGCACTTGCTAGTGAGTCATGGTCAATGGCCAAACAGATGAGAAGAACCAAGGAAAGGGTTGGCATTTGCTGGGGTCTGCTGATTCCCAAGCTCTGGCCTGTGGTGAAGCAGCAGAAATGTGCCAAGCTGAATCACAAAGAGCTTGAGGAGACCTTGGCCTTCCTTCCAGGCTGTGAGGGCCTGGGCTGCCCTAAGCCATCCTCTGGAAAGGTGGAAAGGTCTTCAGGCCCAGAGTCATGTCCATGTTTACATCTATGCCTATGTCTGTAGCGATCTGGGGTATAGATATTTACATAGCTAACATTTATTAAGGGCTAATTATGTTCCAGCTTACATGGACCAACACTGTGGTAACATCAATCATATCCATGATATAGATACTACACTTTCCTCACCATGAAACAGGGATAATAAATTTGAGGCCCCATTGGTCTCAGTCAGAATGAGCCATGTTGTGCTGTGGTAATGAGCACCTCCTAGATGTCAGTGGCCTGAAGTTGTCTCAGTCACATTGTTTGTCCTTCTTGTATCAGCCAAGGACATTGGCCTGTGCTATTGTCATTGTCAGCCTGGGGCCCAGACTGACAGAACAACCATTATGTGGAACACTGCCAGTCACTGTGACAGAGGGAGAGAGAGGCAAGCCATGCCCTGACTCCTAAGGTGCCAGGTGCAAGTGAGCTGGAGGTAACAGACACTCACCCACTGATAGCCAGAAGTTTAACCCAGGAGGAAAGAAAACCCAGGGCTGCCAGTTCACACGCAGCTGGGAGCACTTGCTAGTGAGTCATGGTCAATGGCCAGACAGACGAGAAGAGCCAAGGGAAGGATTGGCATTTGCTGGGGTCTGCTGATTCCCAAAGCTCTGGAGGAAGCTCCACCAGGAAGTGACAGATGACGCTGCTGCTCACATTTTATTGGCTAAGGCAAGTCACACGACCGCATCAAACTTGAAGGTAGTGGGGAAATGCAACCCTACTAGGTGCCTGAAAGACAACTGGAAATGTTTGGTGAACAGGAAAAAGCCACCATATCACCTGCTGGTGTGGTTTAGGGATAGAATGAGTTCATGTACTTCAGGTACTCAAAATGGTGCCAAAGGCCCAGTAATCTCTGCATGGGTATTAGCTAGGAACACCACTGCTGTTTCTCTTATTTGGTTTAAAGATGAGGAAACACAGCATGAGAGGCCGAGTAATTTGCCCAAGTTACTGCCCAGGGGCTACCCAGAGGTTGCCCTTCTAACTGGCACACTCTACCAGCCCACTCCGAGTCGCAGGCCATCCTGAGAGCCGAGGCTGGGTCAGGACAGACACGATGTGCCCTCGGTGACTTTGAGGACTCCCATTCTACTGGGGGAAGAGAAGGGACCCTATCATCTAGTGAGTGCCACACAGAGGATCTTACGGAATTCTCACAACAGCCCCAAGGTAGGGATTATCATTCCCATGGGTGGGATGGGAAAACTGAGGCTCAGAAAGGTAAAGTGACTTGCCCCAAACCAAAGGCTAGTTGGAGGTGGAGCCAGGGTTCACATCCCGCCTGTCGGGCTCACTGTTGGTGGGGCTCCCTGCACGCACCCCTGTGCCTGTGGAGGAGGCACAGACAGAGGCACACAATGGTGAACGGCTTCGTGGACGCTTTCCTTACGGACAGAGGGGACTCAAGGGTCAATTCCGGAATGAACGAGCCCGCTTTCTACTCCCAAAGAGGAGCCAGGGGTGTGTGTGTGTGTGTGAGAGAGAGAGAGAGACAGACAGAGAGAGAAGAGAGGCCCCCTCATGAATCATCAGGCAGGCTTCAGGGAGGAGGTGGTATTTGCCCTGGACTTTCTAGACTGGCGTACGTGAAAATAGGGAAGGAAGGGTAGGACTTCTGTTCAGGGTGTTTGGAAGAGCCAGAGTATGAGCTGGACAGGGGTGAGCAAGAGTGAGGTTGGGGTCAGTCCTGACTACAGCAGCATTACCACCAATGATTGTACAGGCCAACATTGGGCCGCCATCTACATCATATTGTAGAATGGAATGTTTATCATGACATTCCGGCAGATGGCAGCAAATATCTGGAGGAACTGGGGCTGGCCATCTCTACCCCCACACCTGCTCTCACCCTTCTCCCTGTTGCTCTGTGCCCTGGAAGGCCAGTGTCTATGGGATCTCTGTTCTTGGGCAGAGAAGCCAAGGGGAAGCACCGGCAGGAGGCAGGAGGTGGTGGAGAGAGGCTTGAGTATTTATTCCTTTTTTCCCTCCCTGTTGGCTTGGCAGTGGCTGTGCTTGTCTGTCAAAATCTCCCCAGCTGCAGCCCTAGTGGGATTTCATAACTGCTTTCTTCTGTGGTCCCTTTGGGTCTAAGGGCGGTAACAGCTCCCCTCTGTTGCTAGGGTATTTCACCACCTTTTGCTAGTTTTTCTTAGCCATGACCACACCTTCATAAATAATGTCTTCGGTAAACTCTCCAATCACCCCTTCTGAGTGAGCCATCTGTGTCCTTCCAAACCCTGACAATTCAAGGGCTCTTTCATAATTTACACAACGATCTTCTTTATGCCAGCAGCAGCTTCAGAAACCTCCTGGCATTCTCTAGGCATTCTGTAGGCATTTGGGGAGTTGTTCTGAGCAGGTCAGGAAATAACCCCAACTCCATCTCTCATGGGGTGGCTGAAGCAAGCAAAGGTGCAGAGAACAGGGCAGAGGCAGCACGGTGAGAACTTTTGCCTTTTTTCAACACTTCTGGCACTGACCAGGATCCTGATGAATATTTGTCGTGCTGAGATCCATTGAATTCTGCGAGGCGGGGCAGGAGAGGCGGGGCCTTGGGGGACCAGCAAGGGCTGCTCCCTGCCCTCACCTGCAGGATGGTGTTTTTGCCTCAGTTTCCCCCCTTAGATTGTGAGTGCTCCAAGGCAAGGCTTGATCTCTCAAATCTCTGTCTCCTCCAGCCCAGCCTGTTGGGAGAGCACTGGAAAGTAGCTGGTGGGTGACCTGAGCTAGTTGAGCTGGTTTGAGCTGACCTGCAAACTTCCTTTCTGTGGACCCCTGGTTTCCACTGGAAGGTTCACCTGCCCATATCAGAAAAAGCCTGACTTTAAAGGATTTTAGAAAACCCCATTTTATTCTTTTTCAAAACGTACGGCAAGTAATCAAGAACATTCCTCCTGAGTCCAGTGCTATTTCCTCTCCAGTTCACTGCCCCTCAAGCCAAATCCCAAGTCTGCTTTAATGAATATAGAAAACTCACTTGTCATTAGTTGGACAAAAGCTAATGGACTGGAGTCCTTGAGGACAGTGGGTCTCTTGAGCAAATTAAACACTCCCCTTGCAATCTTGAAGTCAATGTTAAATTGTTTATCAAACCCTTCCTTTCCAGGTAGCATTAAGGTGAAATTTCCCAAGTTCTGGCCATTAGGTCAGAAAATTATATTGAGCTGGAGACAGGAAGAAGGAGAGGCAATTTCAAAACTGTTTTGTTTTGAAGAGGAAAAAGGCGTATTGGTTAGGGTCTGGGGAGGGGTCCATAAATATACTTCACCTCTGATGTCACTCTGGCCTTCGCTCATGGCAGACATTGCTAATCAATCATATGCTCCTAACTGTTAACTCAAAACTAAAGCTACTTGCAAACCAGGGCCTAGGGTTGATGGGTCTCCATGATTTTGGTAGTCATTAAAGAGGATGCATCATGGGGCAGGGGGATAAGCACTGGGCTGGGTATCAGAAAGCCTGGTCCCAGTTCTGCTGTGTGATCTTCCTGTTTGGGTCTGGTTCCCCTTCTGCTCAAACGGGGAAGACTTCCTTGCCTGCCACCAGAGGCCCTTGCAAGGACCTGTCAAGGGCTTGGCTAGAGGAGCTTGCCAGGGCTGCAGAACACTGCCATGGCAGCTGCACAGTCACGGTTGTTCCAGGCAGTGCCCTTCAGCACACACAGAAATGAGCTCTTCCAGGAGTGGAGACAGCTCTTCAGCCATTTTCTCCTCACAGGGCTGTTGATGTTTGGGCCCTGTGTGATGTACAACCACATGGTGGCCTATGAGGTGAAGATGTGACTTGGGAGGATCTCTTGGGTCCAGGGCTCCCAGGGCAGTGTCAGAAAAGCAGAATTATGATGCACGGAAGGGAGGAGATGGGAGCCTTGTCCTAGAGATTCCCTCAGTTGTCTATTTATTCACCCACTCATTCATTCATTCATAAATGTTTTCTGCAGATGCCTAAGCTGGGCTCTGATGACTCACCATCCACTCAAATTGGAGCTGGCCAACGCCTTTTATGGACCTGCACCACCTCATGGTTGAGAGGAGTCCCACAACAGGGCTTGGCTTTGGAGGCAGATCCAGTATTGACTGGCTGTGTGTCCTTGGGCAAGCCATTTCTCCAAGTCCCGGTTTCCCCATCTGGGAAGCAGGGGAAATAGTCCCCTTCAGAGGGTTCTTGTAGGGGGTCAAATGAGATCAAACATGTTAAAATGCCTGGCATACAGCACTCAAGGATCGCCAGCCAACTGCTGGCTTTTGGACCAATAGCCTCAGCAAACGCTTACAGAAATGGAATTCAGTGCAAATACCCAAAAGAGGAGCTTTCAGAATGCCGGAAACATTTTCATATTTGTGCAGGAAGAAAACAAATATTATTTGCCCTAAAACTGTGAGGAGCATGCTAAAGGCTCAGAATGCGGCCGCTGAAAATTGAATAACTCCACTTGCAGACGGTGCATCAATTTCATTCAATTTGTAAGCACTTGTCCCTGTAGTCAGGAGGAAAAATGAATTCAGCTCAATCAATCAGCCTGTTTCTGGGTGGTTTGGGGGAAGCCACCCCATCTCACAGGAGGTTCAGTGTCACCTGGAGCAGAGTGACTGGAGCTTCGTTGTTTTTGTGGCAAATTGGGGATAGTAGGAGCTTCATTGATTACCTTATTCTATCTCTGTACTACCACATCAGTACCTGCAAGGAGCGACTGTAAGTAGGTGTCTCAGCCTCATGTTTGGGGGTGTTTAGAGAGTGTCAGTAAGGCATGCTATGGCTACTTCTGCGGCCACAGCTCAGTGCCAAGGGAGTAACACATGGGGAGGAGAGGGGCGTGTCCACCCAGGAAGAGCAAAGAGAAGATGGAAGGGAACCCCAAGAGGCAGCCACTGTCTCACTTGGCTTTTCCTTCTTGCCTCTGTCTCACACTACCTAACCTGAACTGCCCCGGGGCATGCCCTTGGCCATGGTCAAGCACAGAAATATTATTTATTTGGGCATGGACGTCGCTGTGGAGGAACTCGAGCACTGGGTCTCCAATACCCACCTTGTCATTCCTCTTGAGGCCTCTAAGTAAAGGTGTTGAAACCAGAAACCAGGGACTTGAAAGGAAAGGACAGCCTAAACACAGACACCACTTTGACTGACTTTACCTGTCCCTCTCTGATCTTCTTTCTCCCTTCTCTCCCCTCTTTAAACATGCCAGCCCACCTGAAGTTCCACTGGGATTCTTTAGGTTAGGACTTTGCACCATGAGCTACGTTTCTATAAACGGAACGCTCAAGTACAATGTTTGCTACTGAAGGCATGAAGAAGTACCGACGTATCTTCCCAGTTCCTGGCCACTGAGTGCTATGTAGCGATGGGTAGGTGAGAACCCTTAAATGAGGCCAAGACATGCCAGAATCTAGAGGCACAATTGACAACGGGAGAAGCGGGCACTCCAGTGGGGCCACCATTTGCATTTGTCCTGCCCTGCCTCCTCTATAAAAGGAAAATAGGAAAGGGGGAAGGAGGAGGACGGTCTCATGAGAGAATCCCGTCTTTAGGCGTTTGTGTTCAGTTCAGAAGACAAGCCGTGTGCTCAGCCCTGCCAGTACACACACACTGCCCACCCCCACCATGGAACAAGCTCTGATTGTGTTAAATGTTGACTATTTTCGTGCCACAGCCCCTCGGGGACAGATTCTGGCAAAGATGATAGATAGAGCTTGGAGTGGGAAAGCAGATGATGTTTGAAAGCACAGTGCCCGGGGAGAACCAGCCTGGGGCTCAGAGAGAAGAGCACGTTTTGTTTGTTTTTGTTTGTTTCAGCTGGATCGCATTCAAAGGAGACAGAGGGAAGGTTGCAAAATGCCCTTTTTTTGCCCACTATGGAAGCTCGGGCTTTGGGCAGCTGGTGTTTAGCGTCCTATGCTGTTATGTCAGAAGCCCCCACTCTGGATGGATCAGACCTTATGGGGTCTCTGGGGACACAGAAAGAAATCAGATGTAGTCCCTGCCCTGAGCGCCTCAGTCTGAGGGGAGACAGAGCATGCATAGACCAGGCTGATGCAGAGTGACTCACACTGAGACGCAGGCGAGGACTAGGGGCTGGGAATGGAGGGACGGAGCAACTGATGTGTTGTGTGTGTGTGTGTGTGTGTGTGTGTGTGTGTGCACGCGTGTGTGTGACTGTCAGAAGATGAAAAGGATCAGGGAGGAGGGAATTCCTACATGTTTGTGCCTGGGACCTCATGCAGAGGAAAGACAGGAATGAAAACTAGAAAGGAAGCAGGAACTGGTTCACGGTGGGCCTTGAGTGCCAGCCTTTAATCCTGAGGAGACATAAAATGAGGAACCCAGTGAGACTGGAGTTTTCTGGGGAAGGATCCCTCGGGATGGGAAGGAGAGCAACAAGTACAAGAGGGTAGAACAGTGTGAGAGGCAATTCCATCCACTTCCGCCCCTGCCTTTGGAGTTCAGCGTGCCTTTGTAAAAACCATGGTTGCCCAGGAGTGTTTCCAGAGGGCAGGGAAGTGCTTCCTGCTAAGCGGAGTGGAGTGAGACCCTTTTACACTCTGAGCATAGTTGCCCAGTGGGTAGGCTGGGGTGAGGAGGCAGTGAGGCAGAGAACTAAGGAGGTAGAAAGAAAGGAGGCAGTGTAATAATGTAGCGGGTGGAGCACAGACTTTAAAATAGGACAAACCTGGCTTCAAATTTCAGCTCCACACCTCTGTAACCTTCGGCATGGTATGGAACACTTCTGTATCAGTCAGGATAATCTAGCTTATGCCGCAGTAACAAACAGCTCTGAAATCTAAGTGGCTTAAAATGACCGAGATTGATCTCTTGCTCATGCTGCGTGTTCATTAAAGATTTGCTGGGGACTCTATTCATTGTAGTAACTCCAGAACCCAGGTTTATGGAAACTTCTTGTTACTCCTTCCGCAATGACCAAGGCAATGTGAACAGGGCATGGTAATTCACTCACTGCCCTTAAAGTGAGCTCTTTCACTTCCATTCACATTCCACTGGTCAAAGCTAGTCTGGCCATGCACATCTTCTCAGAGTGTGGAAAAGTGAGAATTGAAATAGTTGTGAACAATCTGTCTCAACTTTCTTATCTGTAAAATGGGAATAAAACTACCAACCTCAGATGAGCATTGTGAATCTAATGAGATAATGCATGCAGCAGTCTAGGTGAAATATAGTCACACTCAAACAATGACAGCCAAAACAACAACAAAAAGATGTGGGCAAAAAGGAGAAAAAAGTATAGCATTTGTTGCTTCTGGGATTTCTGAGACAGCAAGGTTGATTTATCTGGAAAAAGCTGCTGTGTCTGGAACAGCTGTATCGGGAGCTGCTGCTTTGGAGGTGGCCCCGAGATCGATCCCTGATGCTCCTGGAACTCCTTCCTGCTGGTGAAAGACTTTCCCTCCATGAGTCTCAGGGCTGAGCTGGGGGTGTTCTTGAAGGCAGCTTCCGGCTTCCTCTCCAAGACTGTGCATTTCAAACACTAATCTAATGCCTTTCCTGCTGCCACCGCAGTCCCATGGAAACAGCATTTCCATTCCAAGTTTCAGTTCCCATTCATCACCGTGAAGCGCGATACCTGAGGGGAAACGGTAACTGAGACTTTGTGAGTCTCCAAAGACGGGAATGTGTCTGCAGGAGCTGAGTAATTAGAGCAGTTTTCTGCACACATGCCTAGTCTTTATTTAAGACATTTCACTTAGGTACACGTCTAAGTTATTCAAAAGTCACTTAGATTTGAGACATGTATATCATTAATTTCTCGTCTCTATTGTAGAATAGTTCAATAAGCACCAATAACCATGACTGCAAGTATTTATTGAGGCTAACTATGTTTCAGGCAACTGTACTCAGAGCCTTGCTTGAAATAACTCATTTAATTTTATAACAATGCCTTATTGTTTTCTGTACCCAATTTGAGAAACTTGCAGGACTCCTAAGGTGTTTCCATATGAAGGAGCTTTAAGTAATCTTTAAGGGGAAAAATGGAATAAATGGAGAATAGTTAGTCTGTGAGACTAAGAAAAGAGCGGTAACTAACATTCACATAGAGCTGAGTATGTTCCAGGCACTTAGGCATATTAGCTCATTAATTGTCTCAATAACTCAAAAGGTAAACACTATGGTCACCATTTTATAGTTAAGGTACCTGAGGTATAGAGAGAGTACATAACTCCATCAATATAATAATAGCTAGTGAGTGGCAGAACCAGGATTTGAACCCAAATAAGTAGGTTCTTATCCACTATACTATACTGCCTCTTGGGGTCTCACAATCTCAGCATCTTAAAATACTGAGGGGACTGTCATGTGGAAGACTTTTCACTAACGTCTAGATCAACACAACCAATATTGATGGTGTAATTGATGATGTAATTGATAGTGTAAGCCACAGAAAGGCAGATTTTGACTCTATCTATGGAAGGACTTCCACTCAATTGGCATTACTCAAAGATCAGAATTCCTTGTTGATAGCAAGCTCCTTGCCACCAGAAATCCTCAAGAATGGGCCTGGGTGACCACTCCCAGCGAGGTGTGGGTGGGATTCCCTCCCTGGGTTTGAGGCTGATATAGATGACCTGTGTTACCCTTTAACATAATTTCATGACCACAACAACTGCCATGACTTTGGAATATGGCCAAACATTTCCAAACTATTAAAACTGGGAGCAGGTGACAAAACTATGTGGCAAATATGAAGGCCCAGGATACTTTACCTGAGCTCAGTGGTATCATCAAGTTCAACTCATAACTAAGTGATGCTGACACGTGGTCATGATGCAAATAAGTGTTGTTACCTGGATGATCAATTAACCTCAGTTCATGTCATCAATTCTAAGTAGTAAAATTTTCACTAATCAAGCCTACATTTTTGTTTTTCTTTTCTAGCTGTATTAATTTACCTGAATTTTAAAGCGAGGCTAAATGTGGTAGTTTTTCTCGATGCTATGTGGGTGTTTTTCTTCTTGGTGAAGCTGTAGAAGGATGGGAAGCAGGGGCATCACTTACTGGGCCAGAAGAGCCAGGTGAGAGCCAAGGACCTACGCGGTGAGAGGTCCATGCAGGCCAAGGGAGAGGAGACGTGACAGGAGCATGAGTCGGATGAGCTGGGGTCTGGAGGGAGCAGACACTGGCAGCAGAAGGTACAGAAACTGTACCCACCCCACAATGGCCCCAGATCCTCTGGGGCCAAAGTCCAGGGCAAGGGCTAAGGAAGCAGTCAGAGGCCAGGAAACAGGGCAAAAGCAGGAAGTACACAAGGAAGAGGCTTGGCCCCTGCCTCAGTCTCTGGGCATTTGTCTGGCTCCCCTGGGGCAGAAGACAGTTCTAGCTGGGTGGGCCTAAGCTCTGGATGCAGGGACAAGAAATTGGTGGTAATTGATGAGAGCAAAAAGACCCAGCACAGGGGTCCCAGGAGGTCCTGGTAGCAAGTCCAGGCCAGTGTTCTCAGGCAAACCTCCTGCGGCCCCAGCTCCTACCCCCACAGGAGGCCACAGGGCCGGGATTCCAGTCCCAGCACTGCCCCTGACTCAGCAGGTAACCTTGGCAACATCCCTTCCTTCTCTGGCCTCAGTTTCTCATCTCTACAGTGGGAGAATTGGTCTAGATATTTCCTAAGGACCTCCTGATCGTGAAATAAACACAACAGAGGCAGCTTTCAAAGATCTTCTTCCCCTTCTCCTTCCAAAGGGCTGGCAGGGAGTTTAAACCAACTTTGAGCCTCTCTCTTCTCTGCTTAAGAATTGAAGATTTCTATGAACTGGACTTTTTGATTTACAGTCCCAAGTGGTGTAGGAGGGAATAATAAGCTCTTTAGACTTGGAAGCTCCTGCAAGAAATGATGGATGTCCTCGAGGGAACGTACATCCAGGAAGGTGTCCCCAAACTCCCAGCAGGAATCAATCTCCCTGTCCCCTGAATGCTCGACATCTCCCTAATAGCATTTTCTACCTCGTGTTTTGTGCAGCTGCTTGTGTGTCTCATATCCCCCAACTAGGTCACAAGCTCCCTGAGGTCAGCGACCGTGCACCTTGGGCTCTCGGGCAAGATTCATGGCATGGCTGCTGACCGGCTGGACAGATGGGACTTCTCTGATTTTTAACCAAGCATTCTTCCTGAAGATGAAAGTGTCCCACGTCATCTTGTTGGGATGATGTACCAGGATCTGTGCTGCTTTAAAAATGCACAAAATCCCTGGTACTTTGGAGTTGTTTGCAAGTAGAAAAAAAAAATTGATGGAGGGTGGAGCCCGATGCTAAGTGGAAGTTGGAATGAGACCCCTGGAAGCTTTGTTGCTTGTATCTGAGGTCCTGACTCTATTGACACTACAGCACAGACCCCTGAAGACTGGGCCTCCCAGAAGCCTGCTTGCCACCTTCCTAGTATTGCAGGTCCCCCAAGAGCTGGGACCTGGTGGCATCATATGCTAAATAAGAAAAATAATCTTTAACAGCGAGCTTACTTTTTTGCAAAGCCTGCTAAGCCCTTTAGCCACTGGTCCTCATTACAGCCCTATGATGGCAGAAACTATTGTCATCCCCAATACACAGATAAGGAAACTGAGGTCCAAAACCACACAGCCAGGGACACTTTTCCTCCAACTCCTCACACGGGTCCTCCTCATTCCTGAGGCCTCTCTTTGAGCATCACTTCCTCGGGCTGGCCTTTTTCACCACCCTCAGTCAAGAGGCTTTTGGCAGCCTCATCATTCTGTATCGGAGGTCATCAAACTTGAGCATGCACCTGAGCCACCTGGAGGGCTTGTTACGGCACAGGTTGTTGCCCCACTCACCCTAGAGTTTCTGACTCAGTAAGTCGGGGGTGGAACCTGAGAACTTGCATTTCTTTAGTTTTTAAATTATAATTTGTGTGGGTACATAAAAGGTGTTCATATTAATGGGGCATGTAGGATATTTTGATACAGGCACACAATGTGTAATAGTCACATCAGGGTAAATGGGTATCTGTCACCTCAAGCCCCATCCTGTGTTGAAAACAATCCAATTATACTCTTTCAGTTATTTTTAAATGTGCAATTAAATTATTATTGACTATAGTCACTCTGTTGTGCTTTCAAATACTAGATCTTATGCATTCTTTCTATTTTTGCTTTTGTACCCAGAACTTGCACTTCTAACATGCTCCCAGATGATGTCGAAGCTGTTGGTCCGGGGACCACACTTCAAGAACCATTGCTCATAGCACTCCACTGATTTCCTTTAAAACACTAATCAGAGTCTGTAATTATTTAATTTATTGATTTGCTTAATTGATTATTGTCTCTTCCACCAGATTGCACGTTTCAGGAGGACAAGGACAGTACCTATTTCGTTCAGTTCGCTATTGCTAGCTCCCAGCACAGGACCTGGCTCATAATAGGTACTCAATGATATTTCTTGAATGAATGAGCACAGTGGTGGAGCTGAGACTAGGCCCAAGCCAAGCCTGCCTGACTGCAGAATCTGTGCTCCAAACACGACTCAGGACTGTCTCCCTGGACTTTAAAACCTCCAGCGGAGCTGCCCCATTAAGAGATAAATGGACACCAAATCTCTCATTGTGGCCAAAGTGAGAGTTCCGCCACAGTCCAGTCATGTATCTCCTGGAGACCACCCTAGAGAGACCAGGTGAGCAGTATGTGAGGTCCTGTGAGAGGCAAGGCCTTTGATTTCTGGTGTCCACATGTGCCAGGGCAGCTAAGAGCCCAGGGTGAAGTGACTCCCGCCCTCCCACATCATCAGCCCATCTGGTTCTGCTGGGGCTGTGCAGACACAGCCCAGGAGGCCCCAGGTACCCAGGTCTGACCACGGAGAACAAGCTGATGGCATCTGATGCTTGGCTACACGTTCAGGAAACATCCTTGCAGATGTTTCCTCCTGAAGAGGAAGGCACAGGAGAAGAAAAAGGAGAGGAAGGACAAAAAAGAATATAATAAAAGAAAATTGCTTGCTGTGCCTCTTTTTGGCAAACTAAATGCTCGTTGAAATTAAGATAAGCTTGACAGGCTTTCGTTAGCAGTTTTTTGGGGCCTGAGACGATCTTGCCTTGAGAGACTTCTATTAGAACCGGCTCCACAACTAATAATGCGGTCTCTGTCACTTAACTCAAAAGTCCCTGCTGGACTCGTACAGTGAAGCATTAAGGAAATGAAATCTTTTTTCTTTTTTTCTTTTCTTTTCTTTTTCTTTCTTCTTCTTCTTCTTTTTTTTTTTTTAACATATACAGCAAAGTTTGATTTGTTGAGAACATTTCTTCAACTGACAAGTTACAAGCCATGTCTGAGAGGCCCACTGGGAACTTTCAAAATTTGAGCAGCAGTTTCTAATCACTGACGATGATTAGCATTTTAGCGAATAGATTTTTGATAAGAAAAATCTTTGCTCTGTGAGAAGAAAAAAAAAACTCTGACATTTGATAATGCAAACAGAGTAGCAATTTTAATTAGGCCTCCAACCCTCCTTGGCATAGCAAACATTGCACAAGATCCAGATGTTTCCCATCTTGCAGGATGTGAACTTAAGGCTGCGTCAAGGTCATTGGTACCAGGTACTATGCCACTGATTGAATCTCCGAGGCAAACAATAATAACCATTATTTCATGAGCACTTACTATGTGCCAGATGTTCTGCTATGTCACATGCATTATCTCAACTGAGCCTCATCTCAGTCTTAAGAGAGCTACCATTTTTATGGTTCCCATTTTACAGATGGGAAAATTAAGCTGAGAATGGTTTGCTAATCCAAAGTTCCCCAGCTTGTTGGTGGTGGAGACACTAACCCAGGTCTGTGTGTGACTCCAGAGTTTCCACATTGAACTTTACTGCCTCCCAGATGCCATTCAAATGGGGACAGGCTGAGTGACCGGGGAGGAGCATTAAGATCTCACCCTGGCTCTGTCACTGAGTGTGCGACGAATCATGTGATCTCTCCTGGACTCAGCCTCCTTGTCTGTAGACTGGGGATACTATCAGACATTTCTCCTTCACTAGACTCTTGTGGGGCTCTGGGGAAGGGCTAATGGTGCTTAGGAGGATGTTATTTCCTCTCATGAAACCAGACCTAGACACCGTCTTCTTTCCGTTGATCTTAGCCCCACCCTTTGCGGCTACCCAGAAGAACTCTGGTTCCTTGCCCTGAGATCTTCAGGAATTTATGATCAACTCTTGAGTCTTCTCAATTTTATATTCTCCAGATCAAACATCTCTGATTCCTTCAACCAGTCTCCATATGCCATGACATTGAGTTTCAACACCTCCTGTAGCAGAGATCTGTCATCAGCACAGTGGGGATAATAATGGTCATTGTGAAGATTAAATGAACAAATGTATGATGCTCTGAGAACAAGGTCTGGCATCCCAATATTCATTCTCCCCTTTTACTTAGTGATGGAGCCATGATATTATTTGGAACATCTTGAGGACATTATTGCCTGGCTTTCCTTGCTGATAGGGGCTGACCCATGAGGTATAATTTACATACAATGAACTGTTTAGATCTTAAGTCTGTCTCATCAGTTTTCATGAAAGTAGATTAAATCAGAACTTTTTCAGGCAATCCTCACCCTCACCCCAAAACAACCACGAATCTAAGTTATATTACTACAGGATACTTTTGCCTATTTTAGAATAAGTGGAATCACATGTTATACGCGTTCTGAGTCTGGCTTCTTCCCTCATCATATTTTTGAGATTCATCCATATTGTTGCCTGTGTCTGTCTCGTGAGGATACCACTGGAAGACAATACTGTAGCTTACTTAGTTATTCTCCTGTTCATAGACATCTAGGTTGTTTCCATTCTTTAACTATTG
The DNA here is from genome assembly GCF_000001405.40 of Homo sapiens. Lineage (NCBI taxonomy): Eukaryota > Metazoa > Chordata > Mammalia > Primates > Hominidae > Homo > Homo sapiens. The sequence continues at coordinate 36,810,456 of NC_000009.12, forward strand.
TGGATACAATTTCTACGACAATTCTCCTACCAGCCTTTTTGTGGACATAGGTTTTTATTTCTCAGGTGAATACCTAGAAATGAAATTTCTGGGTCATAGGGTAGATATATGTTTAGCTTTTCAAGAAATTATGAAAGTGTTTTCAAAAGTGGTTATACCATATTACATTCCAAATTGCACTATATGTGAGTTACGATTTTTCTACATTCTCTCCAACGTCTCGTGTTGTCAGCTTTTATCATCTTAGCCATTCTAGACAGTAAGTAGTGATCTCTCATTGTCACTTGCATCTTCCTGATGACCAATGATGCTAAGTGACTTCTTGTACACTTATTAGCCACTTATATATATCTTCTTCCGTAAAATGTCTGCTCAAGTCTTTTGTCTTTTTAAAAATAAATTCTGCTGCCTGTCTTTATTACTGAGTTGTGGGAGTTTATATATTCTGCATACAAGTCTTTTGTCAGATAATTGTGGTGTTAATATTTTCTTTCATTCTGTAACTTCCCGATTTATTTTCTTGATGGTACTTTTTAATGAGCAGAAGTTTTGGTTTTGATCAAATTCATTTTCTCAACTTTTTCCTTTTATCATTTATGCTGTCTGTGTCTTTTCTAAGGAATCTTTGCTTACCCCAAGGTCACAGAGATATTCTGTTTTCCTTTAAGAACTTTATTTTTTTCACTTTTACCTTTAGGTCTGTAATTCAGCTTGAATTTATTTTTGTGTGTGGTGTGAGATGGGGCCAAGATTCTTTGTTTTCATATGGATTTCCATTTATTCCAGCACCATCTGCCAAAGACATTTTTCTTTCCCATTTAACAGTGTTGGCTTCCTTGTTAAAAATCAAGTGACAATATATGTGTGGACCTATGTCTGAATCCTCCATCCTGTTCCATTGATTTGTCTATGCTTTCACCAAAGCCACACTGTTTTGATGGTTATAGCTTTATAGTAAGTCTTGAAATCTGATAGCATAAGTCTCCTCATTTTGTAATTAATTTTCAAGATTGTTTTGGCTATTATTGGTCTTTTGCCTTTCCAAATAAATTTTAAAATCTTTTGGACTGGGATGAAATTGGTATTTAAATCAATTTATGGAAAATGGATGCTATAATAATATTGTCTTTCAATCATGATTTTAAAATTTAATTGTTAATTTGCTTAATTTGTTTATGTCTTTTAAATTCCTTTCAGCATTGTTTTATAGTTTCAGTGTAGAAGGTTTTCATCTTTTAAGCTTCTCCTTAAGCATTTGATGTTTTTGAATGCTTTTATACATAGTATTTATTTTTAATATAATTTTCTAATTGTTCACTCCTAATGTACAGAAATACAATTGATTTTTATATTTATTTTGTATATCGATTTATTCTAAATGCATTTATTAGCTCTAGTAGGTTTTTTGGGGGTAGATTCTTTAGGATCTCCTATGAACAATCATGTCATTTGAAAACAAAGACAACTTTAATTCTTCCTTTGTAATCTATATGTCTTTTAATTTATTTTGCTTGTCTTATTGCACCAGGTAGGCTTTTTCTCTTTAATGCATCTCAAGACACTCTTGATTTTGGTACAAGTCAGTCTTTGCACAGGTCTCAGGTTTTTCTCCTTCCTAAGAAAGCACAATCCATCAGTTGCAAAAATCCATTTTCCCTAAAAAGTTGGTGTTTTTCCAGATGTAAGGACACACTCAAGGATTTGGCTTTAATTTTTCTTCTTGGCATGGGATGAACTTCAACTTGCATAGAGTTTTTAGTTCTGTTTGTGAAGTATTGCCAGTCCTCTGCATCTTCCGGGCACAGAAGATTTGCAATTCCTGGGTGCCTTTTGGGTAAGTGGGCCTGTATGATTGGTTTTGGCCAAAAAGTAAGCCCTGAAACAATACGTCACCTCTGCACCAAGGAATTGAACTACTGATAATGCAAGAGTTTCCAGAACTCTCTTTTCCTCTAGCACATTTACCTATGATGTTTGAGGTGAAAACTACTTCCTCTGCCTGGGTCTCTGAATGAGCACAACACTCATTCAGCGTCACAAAGAGGGGCAGATAACATGCCTGTCCGGGGAAGCCGAGAACAAGTTGCTTTATTACTAGGGGAGTGAGAAAGGCCACTTATAAGAGGTAGTGCTTGGGCCAGGCCTGGAAGGACAGGAGGGACTCTCACAGGTGGGTGTTCTTCTGCCTGGGTCTACAATGAGCATAACACTCCCCTCAGCTCCTGCTGACCCACAACAGACATTTGGCTTGAGGTGGAAATAAAATGCTGTCTTAAGGCACTGAGATTTTGGGATTATTTGTTACAGCAGCATTACCTAGCCTGATGTAACTTATGTGAATTTCCAAAAGAGAGGTGGCCAAGCAAAGCACTAAGTGGAGGCAATGTAAGATTACATATTGTTTTCTTCTCTGGATGAGACAAAGGGCATACACCCCCAGAGAAATCAGTGGTGAGCTAAGGCCCAGAATCTTATGCAGGTCTTCCCCATTGCCCAGCACATAGTAGATATTCTAAAAAAAAAATGCTTATATTCAGTTAAGCCAGAGTTCTCCTTTCCTCTTGAGGTCTGTGTAAGTAGAAGCACAGTACTTCCCTCATTCTCTCCTACTATCTCCTCCTTGCCTGCAAATGGGAATGACAAAAACAACTTGCCCTCGAGAACTGTTGGGAGAAATTGTGCTGATTACAAAACGCTTTGCAAAATGTAAAATCCTATCTAAGTGGCAATTTTCTCCATTGCTCTGCCAATTGTAATAAATAAATATTGTTTTTTAGAACTGGCTCCTGGCTTGCTTTCCCGCGGTCGTCCCATCAAACACTCCAACACGCCTGGGGTTATTGTCCACTCTGGATTTGCATGTGTGTGCGCGCATGGTGCTTATGTAATGCTATTTACTGAGGAGTTGAGTAAGCCTATCTTGTAGCAGTAAAACTCGAGAACGAGGACGATGTCATACCCCATTGGAGAGGTGATGGGTCAGAACAACTCACTCGGGACAACTGTACTATTTGCTCCCAAGGGCAGGGGGGCTTGTTTCAGTCATTTCTGCAGCCCTAGTATGCCTGGATTTGGGAATATCCTTTGTGGTTATTAAAATTTTTCAATTCTTGACCCAGCTTGGATTGGGGCCCTAGGTTTCTGGCTCATGTTATAGCCATGGGTAGAGTCCAGGAACTCCTATAAACTGCACCTGCTGATGGTTAAATTCATGTTTGCTGACCACTTACTATGACTATATGTGAGGTACAATGAAGGATATAAAGATCACTGACAGTCCCTGACCCCAGCAAGCTGCCATTTAGTACAGGGCTGGGGGAGACTTTCATTTATTCATTCATATACCTATTCAGTCATTGACTCTACCAGCAGTGATTCCACTAATTTTGACTGGTGTTTCAGGTGCCACTCTAGCTACAAAACAAAGTCTCAGGCTTCAGGGAGCATATGTTCTAATAGGAGGATACAGGCATTAATCAAATACTTTTAATAGTAATAAATATTTTACCATAAAATGCAATAAGTACTGTTGAAAAAGAGTTTAGAGTGCAGTGACCACAAGAAATCAAGGGGAAGAGACTTTTTCAGGGGGAGGCAGCTAAGGAAGGCTTCTCTGGGCAAGTAACCTTTGAGTTGAGACCTAAAAGATAAAATTAAGAATCACCCAGTCTGGAGACAGGATGGAGGTAGAGAGAGCAAGTCAGGCAAAATAAACAATACATTTAATGCAAGACAGACTACATGATAAGTCACAAAGAGGGGCAGATAACATGCCTGTCCTAGGAGGCCCAGAACAAGTTGCCTTATTACTAGGGGAGTGAGGAAGGCTGCTTATAAGAGGTAGTGCTTGGGCCAGGCCTAGAAGGACAGGAGGGACTCTCACAGGTGGGTGTTCCAGAGGAAGGAGGAGGAACAGCACAAGCAAAGACCCAGAGGTAGGAAAGAGAGGATGAGGAATTCAGGGCAGACTGTGAAGAGCATAGACTGCTAGGCTAAGGAGTCTGGACTTTTCCCCATTGGTAGTAGGGAGTAATTGGAGGCTTTTGAATAGGAGAGTGATGTGATCAGAACACTTGAATGAAAGAGACTCCTTTGTCCCTCTTGGAAACAGTCTTGTGCATAACCCAAAAACATCTCAGAGCCTCTGGCCCCCCTTGAGCCTAAAGAGGACTTCCAGTGGTCTGGAAATTTCCTCTGCCCACAAGAAGAAACACCAACACCCTGAGAAGACAGTGCAGGAGAGGCAGGAAGGGACACAGGGGCCTGTTACTGGGGCCTTCTTCCCCAGTGATGAAAGAATGTGTGTGTGTGAGCTCTGTACCCAAAGTGTCTCAGAGGAGGGGGCTGTGTATATGCCAACTATTGTGTAAAATAGGCGGACAGAAGGAAAGGCCTTGTACTTGTTTTGGAACATCTTTCAGGTACAAGGGGGGAAAATCCCAAATCAATCTAAAAAATAGAATAAAGAGAATTAATTGGCCCATGACCCTGGGTACCTCCAGGGGATGGCACTGGCTTCAGACATGGCTGAATCTAGGGCCTAAACCAAGTGATCGGGTTTCTCTTTCTCCCTCCATTTCTTGGGTTTGCTTCCATTTGTATATTGACCTCATTATTTCTCATTGCTATTGAGTTTCCTCAGCGCAGGTAAAGAAAAGAGCCCTTGAAAGCTCTAGCCTGGCATTGCAGCAGGAAGAAGGAGTTTCTATGTGTGTAAGTCCCAGGGAAGCACTCTGATTGGTCTTGATGGCTCACATGCCCATCTCTTGGACCAATCACTGTTGTCAGAGGGAAGAGGTACTATGGGTGGCCAGGCTTGTCCTGAGACTGACTGGCAGTTCTAGCCAAATCACAGACAGTGAAGGAGAACAGAGCGCCAGTGGAAGCAAATCTGAGCTAACAAAAATAACCCAAGAGCCTTATGGTCCTTTTCTCAGGCTGTCCACCGTACAAGAAATGATCCATGGGAGAGTGTTTATAAATCACAGTCTTCATCCCAGAAATCTGGGAGCCCAGGTCATTTCAAGAAATAATAATAATAAATATATAAAAATATATTTTAATGAGCTTTTGAAAACAGTCATGGTCATTTATTTCATATGACAAGATTAATTAAAGCTGAGGAATTCTGTTTTCAATGGGGATCCAATTGCTCCCCCATAGGGTTTTGACACCAAGGGGACAGTGGTTCTGCTATGTTGCGGGAAGATCCCTGGTGGGAACTCATGTGACCTGGGCTTTGGCTCTGGGCCTGCCTCTGGCTCACTCTGTGATCTTGGGCAACTCCTTTCCTCTCTCTGGACCTCAGTTGACCTATCTTTACTGTGAGAAGGGTGATGTCTGCTGGTAGGCCTCATGGACTTTGACCCACTCCTACAGTGCTGGCTCTTAGTTAATTCTCTTTGCAGGAGACATTCATTGTCCCCACGAGCCCTGGATGCCCCTACAAGGAACAGGTGAGTTCTGTCCCCACCAGCTTTCTTCTGAGGACTGCTGGAGCATATCATTTGTGCTAAGGTTAGGAATAAACTAAAATTCAGTGTTTCTGGAAGCTCCCGGCCCTGGCCCCACTAACAGGAACCCACAAAAAGGGCGATTACCAGCTATGATTTCTAAGAAGCAGATGCATAGGGTCAGAGACCTGGGCTGGAAGGTCCTGAGTGGTTCCTGAGCCAAGACTCCCATCCTATGCTAGAGGCTCCTCCCCGACTCCAGGAGAGTGCTCCTCCAGTCGCTGTTGTAAACCGCTGCCCATGACACTGGGCTCACTTCCATCCTTGGACTCCTTGACAGTCCAATTTACCTGTGACATTTCCCTACAGGTCCCAGTGCACAGAAGGGGATCCCAGGCAGAGGGGATATTGTGTGCCAAGGCCCCAGTGTTGGGGGTGAAGGAGAGGAGAGAGAGATAGAGAGAGGTCAGAGGGAGCTAAAAGCTCAGTGGCAGGAGCAGGAAAAAAATAGGCAAGATCTCAAAGGCTGAAAAGGAGCCTGAATTCTGTGCCTCTGAAGGGAGTCAGGGGAGAAGCTTTGCCCCTTGGAAGGTCACCCAGGTGTGGTGTGGAGGAGAACCGTAAGCCCGAAGGAGGTGAGAGATGTCTGCGCTGGGGAGTTGATAGGGGATAGACAGGTGGGAAGGCTGAAAGGTGGGCTGTGCCCCCTTTGGTGACACATTAGGTACAGGATATGCTCAAGTTGGAGGGTGGGGCTGCAAGTGCTGCTGGCTGGGATGGGGAGCCCAGGGAGGCTCTGGGAAGGAGCTATGTTCACTTGGGCACCTGGGGACATGGGATGTGCAGGGAGCCTTCTGGTGGTTTCAGGTAGTAGAGGTGGGAGGTTCAGACCAACCTTCCAGATTCATGCCAGGGCCAACACAGGCCTCAGCAATGTCTTACCGGCCCTGGGCCTCTGAAAGAAAGAGTTTACCCCACTCTAGTCGGTGCCACCATTTCTGAGCAGGCATCCTGTTTAAAACAGGAATTTCATGAGCATTTTGGGAGGCTGAGGCAGGCGGGTCGCTTGAGCCCAAGAGTTTGAAGACCAGCCTGGGCAACATGGTGAAACCTCAACTCTACCAAAAACAAAAACAAAAACAAAAAAACATTGGCCAGGTGTGGTGGTGTGTGCCTGTAGTCTCGGGTACTCAGGGGTGGGGAGGCTGAGACTGGAGGATTGCTTGAGCCCAGGAAGTCAAGGCTGCAGTGAGCCAAAATTATGCCCCTGCACTCCAGCCTCGGTGGAGACAGAGCAAAATCCTGTCAAAAAAGAAAGAAAAAGAAAGAAGAAAGAGAAAGAAGGAAAGAAAGAAAGAAGAAAGAAAGAAAGAAAGAAAGAAAGAAAGAAAAGAAAAGAAAAAAGAAAGAAAAGAAGAGAGGGAGGAAGGGAGGGAGGAAGGAAGGAAGGAAGGAAAAACAAAAGAAAGAAAGAAAGAGGGAAGGAAAGAAGGAAGGGAGAAAGAAAGAGAAGGAGAGAGGAGGGAGGGAGGAAGGAACCCAAACAAACAAAAAACAAGGACTTCACTTCCATTGTGGATCTTCCTCTGGGAACGATCTGGATCATGGGGTCCTGGGGGGCAGTAGGACCTGTGGAGTGTGGCCAACTGGGGACCTAGGCAGCCCAGAGTCGTCCCTGACTCTCTGGGGACAGAGAGATACCCTGCCAGTTCCCTTCCTCTGAGGCAGCTCCAGGCCATCTTGGAGGGTGGGGTTTGGAGGCTGGAAAGGGAGGGTGGCTGAGGTGCCAGCTTCCCTTGTGCAGTCTGCCCAGTGGGCAGGGCTGGCCACCAGCACGATCTGTGAGCATCCATTCCTAGTTTACTAAACATTCCTGATGGAACATTTCTCACATGGGCAAGGGGCCACCTGAGAGAATATTAGCACCTACCTCTGCTTGGAAACAGAGACAAGCTCCTTGGGTCTGAATGAAAGGAAATCAGAGTTAAGGCCCTTTAAAGGGCTTAGGAACTGCCAAGAGGGGGGAAAGAACAGATCTGAAGGCTGTAAAAGTGAGTTTACATAAAAAGAAAAAAAGATATAAAATTATCAGGCAAGCAAAACAGTATTTTATTTGTGAATGAGAAAGTGTAATGTGGACCAGGTATGGTGGCTCACGCCTGTAATCCCAGCACTTCGGGAGGCTGAGGCGGGAGGGTTGCTTGAGTCTGGGGAGTTCAAAGTCAGTCTGGGCAACACAAGATCTCCCTGTCTCTACGAAAGGAGAAAAGGAGAGCACGTAGGTCACGGCCTCCCGCTTCCCTTTAGGCTTGGGGCAGGGGAGGGACTGGGGTCCCCACCCTGGTCTAGGAGGCCCAGCCGAGGAGGCCCCCCGGGGAGGGAGGCTGGCCCACAGCTGGCAGGCCTGACGCTCTCTGGCCTTGGCCTTGGGCCGCCTCTTCCGGAAAATGGGACGAGGGGAGGCACCAACAGGAACGGGGTAATGGGGCTGTTGCTGGCAGAGGGAGTAGGGGGGCCGGGCTGGTGACGACATGGAGCAGGGACGAGGGAGCTGCTGGAAGCTGGTAATTAATAAATGAAATGCCCTGGGACTGCCGCCGAGCCGCCTCAGATGACATATCTGTCGCGGGCTCGGCAAACCATTAAATGACCATTTTCTGACAGAACGACTTCCCTGCCGCTGCGAGCTGCCAGGACTTGCCGGGACTCATTTTCTCTTCGCGCCCTCTTTTCTCGTCCATTCCCCCCACCGTGCCTCTGGCCCTTCCTGGACCGCCCCCTCCAGCGGCAACGCCTCTGCCCCCACTCCTGGGCCACCTGTCCTGCGTGCCTCTCTCCAGCTGTCTCTCCTCACTCTGTCTCTGTGTGTGCTTCTGCCTCTCTGTCTCTGTGTGTGTCTTTGACTGTCTCTCCCCGCTCCCTGTGTCTATCTGGGAGTCTCTTCCTTCTGCCTTCCCAGTCTCTCGGTCTCTCTGTCTCCGTCTATCTCTGTGTGTCTCTGTCTCTCTCCTCCCGCTCTCACCCTGGTGTCTCTTCTCTCTTTCCTGGGCCTCTGACCCTCTCTTCTCCCAGGCTGCCCTCTCTCTCCCACCCCCTAGGCCTGGGCTCTCTCTCTTGCTCTCTCTCTCTCTCTGCTCTCCCCTCCCCCCCACCAGCCTTTCTGTGTCTGGCTCAGCCTCCCCCTCCCCGCGTCCCCCCTCCCCGGCTGCCTGACGGCTCCAGTTCATTTCTGCCTGTTTAATTGGGCCCCGGATGAGTTTGGTCGACAGGGCCATTCATCATGTGGCCGCGGCTGGCGGCGGAGCCCGGGGGAGCGGGGCTGACAGCTCCGCCAGGCTGGGATGCGGCCTGCGTCGGGAAGTTCACATATTTGGGCATTAGTGCAGCTATTAGTTTAACAAGCTTCGTTTATCCTTGTCACTACCACTTCAGCTTCCCATGTAATCATTTGAAATGTAGATTACAGCCAGACAAATGGGACAGCGCAGGACGCGCAGGGTGGAGGGAGTGACACGCAGCAGCTCGTTAGGGCCGCCTTCCCAGTCCCATCCCTTCCCAAGCAAGGCTTTGATTAGCTTAATATTCGCATGATTTCAGTGGGAAGCTCCTGTCACCTATGCCGGTGGAGGTGCCTGGGGTGCGTCCAGGTGAGGGTTCAGGTCCTGCCAGGGTGGGGTCTAGTGGATCCAAAGGTCCCCCCCAGCCCTGCAAGGAAACACGGGGGTGGCCAGGGCCTGCCCCGGGAATCCCTTCTGAAGGGGTCTTCCTTCCAGGACGAGGTGGCTCCAGCCCTTGGTTATCTCCTTTCTCCTCTCCCTGATCCCAGTATGCTGCCTCTCTGTGTGACCTGAGCAAGATCTGGCCCTTTCTGGGCCTTGTGTCCGCGTCCGGAAAATGGGGGTTCAGATTCACTCGTGTGGGTTCACTTCCCCCATTCGGCTGGCGAGCTCACCATACCTTAGTTCCTCTGAAGGAGTCACCTGCCTCCTGCCGGATTTCTATTTCCCACGCTGTGGACCAAGGGCTCTTTTACAAATGTAAATCTGGCTGTGTCCAAAGGCCCTCTGGCCCTGAAGGTAAAGACAGAACCCCTTAGTGGGGCTTGGGGTGGGGCAGGGAGGGCTGCAGTCCTCCAGTGCCCCCTTCACAGCTTTCTCTCCCCGACCTCTCCTCTGTGAATGCACTTCAGCTCCCTGGTCCCCGGGCAGGGGGGACAGCTGTCAAATGCCCCCGCCCCCTACTCCTGATCTGGCTCTCCTCTAGGGGTTTGTACCTGCTGTTTCCTCTGCCAGAAACACCACTGTCCCTGCGTCGCTCCCCCAGCTCCTTTTCTCAGACATCTCTTTCCCGTCCTCCGGATTCTCAGTTTGGTTGTTCCTTCCTCTTGGCCCCTCCACCCAGCTCCTCTCCTCCTCTGCTGCTCAAAGCCCTGTGCCTCCCACAGTAGCACCTAACCCCTGACTGTAAACTCCATGAGGACAGCGCCTGCCTAGCATGGAAACGGACCCCTGGAAGCCTCCCAGCCAAGGCTTGTTAAAGGAATAGAGGAAGCGCGTGCCACGTCATGCTGCAGAAGCCTCGGCCACGGGGGCAGCCGTGCATCGACATTTCTCCCGGAGCATTTGCACGACTCCCCAGCTCCTGTTTCCATCCCTGACAGGCACACAGCCCTGGGAGGATCAGGCTCCTCTGAGTCAGGGCCTCTCGGGAGAAAATGGTCGGCCCACTCAAAGAGTTTAAGGGAGGAGAGTTTAACGATGAGACAGCGTACCGTGGTGCAAACTGGCAGGGCCCAGGAAGCCACCGTGGGAGGGTGCAGCCCCAGCGGGGAGCTGCGACCACCCTGAGGCCTGAAGGACAAGGGGATGGAATGTTGTTGCCAGAACCCGGAGGAAGACCGGGAGCCGTGGAAGAGGGGCTGCAAGAGGATGTAACTCCTGAAGGCAGCCACTGTCAGAACTGGGGTGAGGCAAGGAGGGAGTGGGGATAAATTATCCGCCTCTCACTCCCCTCTCTCCAGTCTTCTGCTGCCTCCCATTGGCTGGATCCATCCCACCAGAAGCTAGAGGGCAAGGGGGTCGGGGTGAGGTGGTCCGCAGAGATCAACCTCCTGAGCTGCAGAGCAGGGCTGAAGAGAGCCATGGAGCTGGTGGGGTTGGGGGCAGATGGAAAATACCCAGCACACCAGTCCCCTCAGAGGGAGGCCGTGACCTCTTCAGAAGAGCCACGGAAAACATATCTCAGGACCAAATGGAGATGCGTCTACAGAGGGCTCTGATGGTGTGGACGCAATCACCACTGCCTTTTGTATTCGTCCCCTCACTGTCACATCTCCCTGCCCAACCCAGCGGGGCAAGAGCAGTCCTGCACTCCGAGCTTCTTTTTTCACCTCTCCTCCTGCTGAGGAGTTTGTCTCTGTTTCCTTCCTGACACCTTCTGAATAATGACACCAGACCTTGAAACCAACGAGTCATGAATCAAAGTGGCTTCTTGCTATCATAAAAGAGATGTTCTAAACCCCAAACATAAAGATCGTTTTATCTTTATTAATAGTTTAATGCATCTGAGAAAGCTATTTGACATTTTTTACACCTCCAACTCTTTCCTTCATGCATTGCTGGTCAGATTACACCAGGGTTCAGCCACTTACATCCACTTAATAACTGACTAAATTCTACACTGAATTTACATTGAGCTACAAGCTGATTCTAGGATACAGATGAATTTTCTAGTGGGAAAAGAAAACCCACCCAACACCCTGACTCCAAAGTTGTAAATCTGTTCTAATAATGAAAAAGGAATTAGTCAATCTATTGGGATTGATGTCGTGTTTAACGACACTTGGTGAGGAGGACTCTGCCGCACAGAGTGAAGGGATGGGCCTCGATCAATAATTGGGAGTGAGACATTTTCTTCACCTACATAATTAAAACACCACACGTGGAAACACACATGTGAAAGTAATTGAAAACACATGGAATTTGGGGCATGGAGAACAATTTGACCCTTCCCAACTGCTGGCAGGCCCGGCACACGTGCGTGCATGACATTGTGAAGAGAGAGGCTTGGTCATTGATGACATCTGAATTAGAATAACACCTAATTGGCTGATTTTTCTATTGTAGACACACACACACACACACACACACACACACACACACAAACACCACCACCATCACATCACAAACATGTATCCAATACATAGCACTATACTTAACATGTTCATGTCCACACACTGTAGCCCAGTGCCCCCTACACAAACATGTAACCCCACAGCCTGCACACACACTTTCACGTGTTTTCTCAATAAGAGAGGCACACGCACGGGCCCATATGATGCTCACACATACTTTCAAGCAAGACTTAGTGGGAAAAAGGGAAAAATGTGTTCTCTGCCTCTCCCCAACTTCCCAGAAAGAAAAAAAAAATCATAACTGTCAGAAATGTGATAGGACTGTCAAAGACATATGGAAGAAACCCAAACAAACCATGGAAGTTGTGAAACATAAATCCCAATTCTATTTGTTCTACGACAGTGTATAAACCACACATTTTTCATCAAGATAGAAAATTAAAACCCTCGCCAGGCTCAGCATTGCTGGGGAAGTTGGATAGAAACCCTAGTGTCCTGGCAGAAGGAGAAGCAGCTGCTGGCTGGCCTGGGACTGAAAGATGCTTCTGAACCGTGGACTGGACCACAGAGTTTAGCTGCCTCCCTGTCTCTACATTTTAGTACTGCTGTGATTGTGTCCACACACCCACAACTGTGATTAGCCAAACATCCCATGGGCATATTCCCTATTTTGAAAGTCCCTTGATAAAGCATAGGTTCAGCTTCTGGCGAGCTCCCGAGCAGCCTTAATGTCCACGTGGCTCCTGAACTGTGTCTTCTACTCTCCCAAGCCCATAGCTTGGAGTTCTTTTTCCCCACTGAAGCTCACCTGATTCACTTCAGACCTCCAAGTAGCCTGGCAGCCCCTCCAGAGCCTTACTTAATTCTGATGGGCTTAACTCCTTTCTCACAAGAAATTCTCCCTAATAACTACCAAATATTAATTAAAACCAGTTAATTCCAGTCCCTAGAGAATTAGATAATGCTACTGTTTTCTATTCAGAGAAGAGTCTATTTTCCCCTACTTTTGGCTTTTCTTTCCCTAAGCCAGTGTGTTAATCATGAGGAAATGTCCCAAGACTTCTTGAAAAATTCTGTGTTTTTAGTGGATTTCCTGGGGAATGTCTCCAAAGCCATTTGAAGACTAAACAATAACATCTTTTGGTTTATTCTCATTCAGACATCATTCTTCCTCAAAGCCTCGCGGATCAGGGAGGCAGACTTCTCTTTGCAGAAGCCACACTCCTTCCTCCATAGTTTGGACCTTATGAACCCGCAAGTTACCATTTTTAATAGTTCCCCTTTGGAAAACTTCTGTTGACAGGCAGTCTGCTGTATTTTACTTTCTGCCTAGTCTTTGGGTAGATGCTAGTGTTCACTGAGACCTAGCTCTTTGGCTCAGCAGAATAATGTGCCTGGGGGCTTCAGACGGCCCTTTGAGGGATGAGGGTCACCACAGGGAAGGCCAGCTCCAAGGGGCCCTTGGTGTCTTTGAACTCTCGCCTTTGACTTTCAGGCTTCATAATGAATGCTTGGTCCCTTGACTATGAGTCATTTAGAACCACACACTCATTGAGATTTTGAGATGGAAGGACTGGAAGTCATGTGGTTCAAACTCATATCTCCGGCCCCGTTGCTCAGATGGAAAGACTGAGTCCTGGGTGAGGGCCTTCTGATATAGGTATGAGAGTAAACAAGCAAGGTGATAATAGTTCTCTCTAGGGCTCGAGGCCGGTGGTCTTAGCTGGTCCCTTGTGAGTTTTTGAAGCAGATCTGGGTCCTCTGTTATCTCCACACAAGTCCCTCCTTCTGCCATCTCCCTTTAATTCAACAAATATTTATTCGATAACAATTGGTTGAATAAATGAAGAAATGTGTCTCTACTCTGACCAACTGGGCAATGGAGATAGAACAGAAACTGCTACTCACAATCCAATATCCAGTCTCTCCTTTTCCCGGAATAACAGAATTTGTAGCTGGACAAACAGGGCCGCTCAGAGTAGAGATCCCCTTCCCCAGCCTTCCTTGCTGACAGATGTGGCCTTAGTATGTGCTTCTGGTCCATGACATACATGCAGAAGTGCCAGGTGCCAGCCTCCTGGAACCTTACTCAGAGACAGCAGGTTCTCTTTCCTTTGTCTCCTCTGTCTTGCTGTCTGGAATTCTGATGCTGCCATCTTGGGCCTTGGGGCTGAGGGACACAGCCTCAGGAGGGCCACAGATGACTGAGTCTGGTCCGTGTGGGCCTCCTCGGCCAAGTTGCTGTATCAGCCATGGATCGCTGGCCTCCAGACTCTGAATGTGAGAGAAGACAATCTGTCCTGTTTTAGCCACTGCTGTTCTGGATTTTTCAGTCGTTCATAGCTGATCTAATTCTGACTACTACAGGCAGTAAAATAAATATTTAACATGGATTTGAAAAAAAATACTATTCTTTCTAGCTTTGCCAAGAAAAAGTTGGACTTCCTCAAAATGAAATTTTACAAAGAAACGAGACTCTGAGAATATTTTAAATGAAGAGATATGTGTATATACACACATACCCGCAATATCTCTATGTATATGCATATATAACATATGCATAAATTATCTCTGGAAGAATACACAGCGACTAGAGTCATGGAGAAGAGACCTGGGAGCCTCGGGGTTGGAGTGGAAGTGAGACCCACTGCCTACTTTTTTTGTTCTGTTTGAATTTTGTTTTTTTTGAGACAGAGTCTCTCACTGTCGCCCAGGCTGGAGTGCAGTGGTGTGATCTCGGCTCACTGCAACCTCCACCTCCTGGGTTCAAGCGATTCTCCTGCCTCAGCCTCCTGAGTAGCTGGGATTACAGGTGCCCACCACCACACCTGGCTAATTTTTTTGATTTTTAGTGGAGATGGGGTTCCACTACATTGGCCAGGCTGGTCTTGACGTCCTGACCTTGTGATCTGCCCGCACTGACCTCCCAAAGTGCTGGGATTACAGACGTGAACCACCGCACCCGGCCCCTGTTTGAATTTTTTAACTGGGTGTGTGTGTATGATCTTTTTTTAAAAACACCAAAGTTTAATACCAAAATGAAAACCCACTGTACACATAGAGGCCCCCAGTCCAGTCTCTATCAGATGAGACTTTTTGGTGTTGCCAAGTAAACATCCAGTTCCGGCTTGGGCTTCTTAGCGACAGGGTGCTCACCTCCTCCCCAGACAGCTTGATCTGAACCCATTTCCTCATCTGGGGAACATACAGACGCTCCTTGCAGGACGGTGGCAAAAGCACATCCTACCTGCTCAGGAAAGGTGCTGGTTACCAGTGACACACCACTGTTCCCGTGCGGTGCACTAGAGCCTGTCATTCCCACCAGACCCACAGTGTCTACCTCCTGAGATACTGCTCATAGACTCACAGATCTGCTGTACGGCTATGGATTTGCTCCCCCGCCCCACCACATGGGGCACTCCCTGAGGGCAGGGACCATGCCTGTTCCTCTTTGTCCCTGGGGTCCCTGTGCCTATCCGAGACCCTGGCATGGAACAGATATCCAGGAGTGTTTACTGTCTGAAAGAAGGAGAAGACAGCCAGCAATTCATTCTAAAATGCAGATGTTGACAGCAGTTTCAAGTCATCCCAGTTGATCCATGATTTTTACTGGAATTTTAGTTTTTCCTGGATTCGACTTCCAGCCGCATCAGAGCTGCCTAGGTGAGACGCAGCAGGAGAAGAGCCCTGGAGACTCTGCCTGGAGGTGTCACCAGCCGGTGCCTTTCTTGTGAAGGGTAAGAAAATGCCCTCCCATCTCCACTGAGCCTTCACTACCTGCTGCAGGGCCCAGGTGCTGGGAGTTTGTGGGCTGAATGGGCAGCAGCGACTCTTGGGGACCCTCCACCTGGGGTCACACACAGCCTGGCTTCAAGTCTTGGCCACGGCTTACCAGCTGTGTGACCTGGGGTGAGATAGCTGGGCTTTTCAGCCTGAGTCTCTCCACCCATAAAAGTGAGGATGGTAATAATTGTCAGGACCTCATAGTGTTATTGTAAGGAGTAAGTGAGAGCCTGCATGTGAAGTCCATTTTATAAAGGGGTCTTAATTCTTTGGCGTGTAAATATGACATGAGTTAATTCCCCCCTCCCCCCCCCACCCCCAGCTGTGCTACATGGAACTATCCTCCTTCTCGCATTTCTGGTAGGGTGGTGGCACCTTTATTGACATCTTGGTCAGATTCCAGAACATTCGAATAACTTTCAGTTATTAGAACAGTTTCGTTTTGGTATTTAACATTCTGTCCTGTTCTTTTTGAAATTTCAATCTCAAACATAATCCGACGCCGGAGTTCTCTGCCATCACCCGGGGCCGACCGGCCCCTGCTGTGGCTCTGGCAGCCTGTGGAGAAACTACATTGGTTTTCTGCTGCTCCATAACAAGTTACCAGAAACCCAGTGGCTGAAGATAACATGCGTTGATTATTTCAGCTTCTGTGGGGTAGGAGTTGGGGTGTGACTTATCTGGGTCCTCTCCCTGGGGTCTTACAAGGCTGCATCAAGGTGCCAGCTGGGGCTGTCATCTCACTTAAGGCTAGGGTCCTCTTCCACATTCCCTGGGTGTTGACAGAACTTGGGTCCTTGCGGTTAGACAGCCGAAGCCCTCAGCTCCTAGGGGGCTGCCCACCAATCCCTGCTGGGTGGTCCTCTCCACAGCCTGACCCTCTGCTTCTTCAAGGCCAAAGGGAAGGCATCTGTTTCTCTGACTGCTAGACCTTCTTTTAAAGAGATCACCTGATTAGGTCAGGCCCACTCAGGATCGTTTCCCTTTTGACTGACTTAAACTCAGCTGACTGGGGGCTGTCATGATGTCTGTAGGATGTGTTGTCTTTATTCTCATTTGGTAATCCCATGTGCCTCCCCTCTTTGACCCCTGCAGGCAGGTCCTGGATGGTGGGAGACGTGGCTCTGTTCCTTCTGTTCCTTCTCCCAACCCTCATCAAAGACCATCCACCGCACAGCTTCCAGATGTTCCCGCTCCAGGGAGAGGGTTTTGGGGTGGGGTTCCCACTGGGCAGTGGGAGGGTGGCTCTCATCAATGGTGTCCCACAGCTCACAAGGCACATGCATATCTTTACCCATTCTCCTTTCCCCTGTTTCAGGAAATGTAAGGGCAGGTTACCAAATCTGTTGGCCAAGCAGATGCCCATACAGAAGGTGAAATCTCAGGCTCCCCTTTTTGAAGGTACCTCCAAACTTCCCAGGGAGTCTCTTAAAGCCATTGACCCCTGGCTTTGGGCAGAGGAAACAGCAGCCCTGCCCACTAGCCTCTCTCCTGAATCTGCATCTTCCTCAAGCTGACTGTCTCTTCCTCTCTCAGTCTTTACTTATGTGGTGATGGTGGTGGTGGGGTGAGTAGGGGGTGTTATTGAGTGGTCAAGTTCATTCTCTGAATTGTCACCTCCCCACCCTGCAGGAGGTGACTGGAGCCAACTATTGGAGGATCTGTGAAATTACAGTTTTCAGCTTTGGCCTTGGCTGTGCAATTCTGGGACAATGGGAAAATTTTCACTAAGCATCAGTGCCTGGCAGATAGTTATAGTTAGTGCTCAGTAAATGCTAACTGACATTCTTGCTCACAACTCAACCCAAATAGTCCTATGTTTAGAAGCAAGGCAGAAGATCAGAGTAGACCAAGAGCAGGGCTGAGGACGACAAGCCCTGGGACTCCCTTCAGTTCTTCCAGGCCAGGAATGTGCTTGTTCTCCAAGCCCGGGTTCAGCGTGAGTTCACGCGAGAGCAGGACAAAGGTGAGGAGCAGGGGGCTGAGCTGGGTCAGGCACATGCATGCCATTGTTTTGCATCAACTTATTCTGCCTTCCACTGCCCCAGAGTTGGTAGAAAAGAACTGAGCAAAGCTGGGGTTGAAATTCTGGAATTCATGAGTGTCATGAAAATACTGCTTGGCTAGCTGTCCCACAGACCCATGTCCTCTTCTTCCTCAGCACAGAACTAGACTGCATTTCTCAGCCTCCTTGCAGTTGGGTAGGGCCACAGGACTGGGTTCTGGTCACTAGAATGTGAATGGAAATGATATCTACCACTTCAGCCCTGCCCATGAACACTCTCCAGTGGCTGATCCTCCGTGCTCTCCTTTTTTGCAGGCCTGATGCAGACAAACGAGGTAAACTTGGAAGCCAT